>NC_000006.12:13241818-13393333 GCF_000001405.40 Homo sapiens | reverse complement strand
CTCAAGCTAGAGTGCAGTGGCATGATCTCCACCCACTGCAACCTCTGCCTCTCGGGTTCAAGTGATTCTCCTCCCTCAGCCTCCTGAGTAGCTGGGATTACAGGCATGCACTAGCACGCCCAGCTAATTTTTGTATTTTTAGTAGAAACGGAGTTTCAGCATGTTGCCCAGGCTGGTCTTGAAATCCTGACCTCAAGTGATCCACCCACCTTGACCTCCCAAAGTGCTGGGATTACAGACATGAGCCACCACACCCAGCCCTTTTTCTTCTTTCGATAAGGTCTCACTCTGTTGCCCAGGGTGGAATGCAATGGCACAGTCATAGCTCACTGCAACCTTGAAGTCCTGGGCTCAAGCAATCCTCCTGCCTCAGCCCCCCAAGTGGCTGGGGTTACAGGCACATGTCACCATGCCTGGCTAATTTTTAATTTTTTTTTTTTTGTAGGGACAGCATCTTGCTATGTTGCCCAGGCTGGCTTCAAACTCCTGGCCTCAAGCGATCCTCCCGCCTTGGCCTCTCAAAATGCTGGGATTATAGGTGTGAGTCATTGCACCTAGCCCTTCTTATTTCTCTTCTTCTCTGGAAATCTTCCTGACTTCTTTGTTTCTACCTACCTGGCTCATCTGCTTACCCCCTCTCTCACAATATGAAATGACAAGAGTCAGTTATCTGAGAGGATCTGCAGCAGCAGCTACAGGCCAGCTCCTGCAGGCTCTCTCTCCATCAGGGTACAGCAACAGGGTCTGCTGAAGACAGGCTCCTCCTCTCTCATTTCTCCAGTGTAGTGATACAAAAACTTGCTGAAATATTTGAAATACCAAAACTCTTTTCAATACTGCCAACCAGTGCTTGAGTTTTTAAATTAAAAAAAAAAGTAATTAAGAACAACTTTTTATTTTTTGGTGGAGGAGTCGTTACCTATTCAAAACACACTGACCAGAGGAAACAGATTTTCTTTTTTCTCTTTTCTTTTTTTTTTTTTTTTTTTTGAGATAGGGTCTGGCTTTGTCACCCAGACTGGCATGCAGTGCAACCTCTGCCTCCCGTGCTCAAGTGATCCTCCCGTCTCAGCCTCCCAAGTAGCTGGGACCACAGGTGCACACCATCACACCTGGCTAATTTTCATATTTTTTTAGTAGAGGTGGCATCTTGTTGTGTCGCCCAGGCTGGTCTCGAACTGCTGGGCCAAGGGATCTGTCCACCTCAGCCTCCTGAGCTGGGATTACAGGCATGAGCCACTGCACCCAGCCTAGGAAGCAGCTCTTAGTGTGGCAACAGGGAGTGGGCTGTCTCCTCGTGTCTACCAGAGTAGTCCCTGGTCTACAAATTTCAGAACCTTGAGTAGTTCCCTGCTATGCCATGGGCAGGCCTGTTCACCAACTGTCTACTACAAGTAACTGTTTATCAACTGTTTTAAAGAATAACCCACAACAGCCATTGGTAACAACAACAAAATGACCATCGGTAGAATTGATTGAACATGGACTGTGTCCCAGACCCTGTGCTAAGCTCTCAAGATGGTTCTCACCACTCCAATGAAGTCGATACCCTTATATCCCCATTTAACAGATGAGGAAATTGAGGATTAGGGAGATTAAGTTACTTGTCCAGATACGTGGTAGAGCTTTGAGGTCAGACTCAGCCCTTGGTCTGGCTCGCCTGCTGGCATCCTTTCCCAATATTCTCTACTGAAGCTTTCTTTTCTCTTTTTGAAAAGAAAAAATGGAGTTGTTACCTATTCAATTGATATGGACTCTACGAAATAGTACATTATTTTCCTTGGCCAATTTCTTTTCTCTTTCTTTTTTTTTTTTTTTTTTTGTTTGTTTGTTTTTGAGATGGAGTCTCGCTCTGTCGCCCAGGCTAGAGTGCAGTGGCACAATCTCAGCTCACTGCAACCTTCACCTCCCAGGTTCAAGCGATTCTCCTGCCTCAGCCTCCCGAGTAGCTGGGATTACAGGCGCCCACCACTGCGCCCAGCTAATTTTTATATTTTTAATAGAGACGGGGTTTTGCCATGTTGGCCAGGCTGGTTTCAAATGGCCAATTTCTTAAATAATGTATAGCTGTTTTGGTAGCTAGCTAGCACCGTCAGATAATTCCAGCCACGGTTACTGGAATTGAAGTCCATTTCTCACCTTCTACCTTCACTCAAACAAAAAAATCGAATGTTCACCATCCACTGTGAAATAACCAATCATATCCTTGAAAATCTTAATTAAGTGTCCTGTGAAACTTTCCTTCTCTGGGCTTCTTTCTTCCTTTCCCTGTTACGCTAACTTCAAGCAACAGAGGTTTATTGGAGATGGTCTTTGCGCTGGGCCAGTAGGGGACACCAAGAAATAGATATTCCTGGTTGTGCTCAAGGGTTTCAGCAGCTGGTTAAAAACCGCTGAGCTAGTGTTTATTCGGCACTTCCTGTGCCAGGCACTGTGCTAAGTAGCTTGCATGCATTGCCTCATGCAGCCCTCATAACAACCTTTTGAGGTAGATACTGTTATTATCCTTCCTTCCTTCCTTCCTTCCTTCCTTCCTTCCTTCCTTCCTTCCTTTCTCTCTCTCTCTCTCTCTTTCTCTCTCTCTTCCTGTCTTTCTTTCTTTTTTTTTTTTTCACAGGGTCTCACTGTCACCAGGCTGGAGTATAGTGGTGCTAGCATGGCTCACTACAGCCTCAGACTCCTAGGCTGAAGCAATCCTCCTGCCTCAGCCTCCCTAGTCACTGGGACTACAGGCATGCACCACCACATCTGGCTAATTTTTTAATTTTTTGGTAGAGATGAGGTTTCGCTGTGTTGCCCAGGTTGGTCTCAAACTCCTGGGTTCAAGGAATCCTCCTACCTCCACTTCCAGAGTTGCTAGGACTGCAGGTGCATGCCACAGCACCCGGCTATTTTTTGTATTTTTTTTAGAGACAGGGTCTCACTATGTTGCCCAGGCAGGTCTCGAACTCCTGGGTTTAAGTGATCCTCCTGCCTCGGCCTCCCAAAGTGCTGGGATTACAGGCCTGAGCCACCATGCCCAGCCCCTGTTTTATATAAACAACAACAACAACAACAAAATGGAAGCCCAGAAGGTTTGGAGGAACTACCTCACTGTAATAGAGTTTACAAGTAGTTGGGACCTCAATATTCCACAGGAAAATATGCCTAAGAATTCCAGATGTCATATGATTAAGGCTCGGAAAGTCATAACTGGCTCAGGCAGCAAGTATTAGAGAAGGAGAGATACACAAGGCTTGGGGTCCTCAGGGGGGATGTCCCAGAGGTGGTGGGACTTAAGTTGGACCTTGGAGAAGAGTGGCACAATGGGGACTGGAGAGGCAGGTAGCAAAGGAGGGAAGGTGGGAATGTGCACGGGGGGCTGAACTTGTTTGAACTTGATGACTGAGCAGAGGAAATGCAGGGGGTCCTTTTGGTGAGGTAAATCATGGTAAACATGGGAAAGTAAAAAATGCATATCATGGGCAATGGCAAAGATTAAGTTCTAAACAGAAGGGGTGTGTATGTGTCAGTATTTGGAAAATATTAATAATATGGTAGTTTGGAAAGGGGCGTTAGATTTTTTATTATCATTATACTTTAAGTTCTAGGGTACATGTACAGAACTTGCAGGTTTGTTACATAGGTATACATGTGCCATGTTGGTTTGCTGCACCCATCAACTTGTCATTTACATTAGGTATTTCTCCTAATGCTATCCCTTCCCCCACCCCGCACCCCCCAACAGGCCCCAGTGTGTGATGTTCCCTGCTCTGTGTCCATGTGTTCTCATTGTTCAACTCCCACCTATGAGTGAGATCATGTGGTGTTTGGTTTTCTGTCCTTGTGATAGTTTGCTGAGAATGATGGTTTCCAGCTTCATCCATGTCCCTGCAAAGGACATGAACTCATCCTTTTTTATGGCTGCATAGCATTCCATGGTGTATATGTGCCACAATTTCTTAATCCAGTCTATCATTGATGGACATTTGGGTTGGTTCCAAGACTCTGCTGTTGTGAATAGTACTGCAATAAACATATGTGTGCATGTGTCTTTAAAGTAGCTTGA
The DNA here is from genome assembly GCF_000001405.40 of Homo sapiens. NCBI lineage: Eukaryota > Metazoa > Chordata > Mammalia > Primates > Hominidae > Homo > Homo sapiens. The sequence continues at coordinate 13,389,285 of NC_000006.12, read as the reverse complement.
TTTATAATCCTTTGGGTATATACCTAGTAATGGGTTCACTGGGTCAAATGGTATGTCTAGCTCTAGATCCTTGATGAATTGCCACACTGTCTTCCACAATGGTTAAACTAATTTACACTCCCACCAACAGTGTAAAAGTTTCCTATTTCTCCACATCTTCTCCAGCATTTGTTGTTTCCTGACTTTTTAATGATCGCCATTCTAACTGGTGTGAGATGGTATCTCATTGTGGTTTTGATTTGCATTTCTCTGATGACCAGTGATGATGAGCATTTTTTCATGTGTCTGTTGGCTGCATTAATGTCTTCTTTTGAGAAGTGTCTGTTCATGTCCTTTGCCCACTTTTTGATGGGGTTGTTTGTTTTTTTCTTGTAAATTTGTTTAAGTTCTTTGTAGTTTCTGGCTATTAGCCCTTTGTCAGATGGGTAGATTTCAAAAATTTTTTCCCATTCTGTAGGTTGCCTGTTCATTCTGATGATAGTTTCTTTTGCTGTGCAGAAACTTTTCAGTTTAATTAGATCCCATTTGTCAATGTTGGCTTTTGTTGCCGTTGCTTTTGGTGTTTTAGTCATGAAGTCTTTGCCCATGTCTGTGTCCTGAATGGTATTGCCTAGGTTTTCTTCTAGTGTTTTTATGGTTTTAGGTCTTACATTTAAGTCTTTAATCCATCTTGAGTTAATTTTTGCATAAGGTGTAAGGAAGAGATCCAGTTTTAGCTTTCTACATATGGCTAGCCAGTTTTCCCAGCACCATTTATTAAATAGGGAATTCTTTCCCCATTGCTTGTTTTTGTCATATTTGTCAAAGATCAGATGGTCGTAGATGTGTGGTGTTATTTCTGAGGCCTCTGTTCTGTTCCATTGGTCTATATATCTGTTTTGGTACCAATACCATGCTGTTTTGGTTACTGTAGACTTGTAGTATATTTGAAGTCAGGTAGCATGATGCCTCCAGCTTTGTTCTTTTTGCTTAGGATTGTCTTGGCTATGCAGGCTCTTTTTTGGTTCCATATGAACTTTAAAGTAGTTTTTTCCAATCCTGTGAAGAAAGTCACTGGTAACTTGATGGAGATAGCATTGAATCTATAAATTACCTTGGGCAGTATGGCCATTTTCACAACATTGATTCTTCCTAACCATGAGCATGGAATGATCTTCCATTTGTTTGTATCCTCTTTTATTTCATTGAGCAGTGGTTTGTAGTTCTCCTTGAAGAGGTCCTTCACATCCCTTGTAAGTTGGATTCCTAGGTATTTTATTCTCTTCATAGTGATTGTGAATGGGAGTTCCCCCATGATTTAGCTCTCTGTCTGTTATTGTTGTATAGGAATGCTTGTGATTTTTGCACATTGATTTTGTATCCTGAGACTTTGCTGAAGTTGCCTATCAGCTTAAGGGGATTTGGGGCTGAGATGATGGGGTTTTCTAAATATACAATCATGTCATCTGCAAACAGAGACAATTTGACTTCCTCTTTTCCTAATAGAATATCCTTTATTTCTTTTTCTTGCCTGATGCCCTGGCCAGAACTTCCAACACTGTGTTGAATAGGAGTGGTGAGAGAGGGCATCCTTGTCTTGTGCCAGTTTTCAAAGGGAATGCTTCCAGTTGGTGCCCATTCAGTATGATATTGGCTGTAGGTTTGTCATAAATAGCTCTTATTATTTTGAGATACGTTCCATCAATACCCAGTTTATTGAGAGTTTTTAGCATGAAGGGCTGTTGGATTTTGTCGAAGGCCTTTTCTGCATCTATTGAGATAATCATGTGGTTTTTGTTGTTGGTTCTGTTTATGTGATGGATTACGTTTATTGATTTGCGTATGTTGAACCAGCCTTGCATCCGAGGGATGAAGCTGACTTGATCATGGTGGATAAGCTTTTTGATGTGCTGCTGGATTCGGTTTGCCAGTATTTTATTGAGGATTTTTGCATCGATGTTCATCAGGGATATTGGCCTAAAATTCTCTTTTTTTGTTGTGTCTCTGCCTGGCTTTGGTATCAGGATCCGACATTCCCTTGACTATGAAAAGGAGTTGTCAGATTATCTGGGCATTGCTCTATGTTGCTGCTTGGATGCTCATGTAAACATTAATGGCTCTGAGAAGTATTAATACTGTGCTGCATTAGAGAAGCCTCTTCCATGTGGGAAAGCTGCTTGCAATTTCAATTTCTTGTGTGTATGCCTATGTAACTGAGTGTTTAAAATTGCTTCAAAAACTATCAAAACAGAAGCACACAGAAGTACACCTATTAGGCGAGGATATCGTTGGTCTAATCATCTATCCTGGGACTCTGAGAAATGAGATGGAGGCTGGTAATGAGGATGGAATGCAGAATTGATGCTTTTTAACATTTTTCACCAGCATTTCCCAAACTTCTTGACCCTAGCTTCTGTTTTTAATGCATGGCACAATCTTGAACCCCCTGTAGGGCCGGTGTTCCTCAGAAACGCTTCAGAACAGCTGTTGTAGTCCCATCTCGCTTTGCCAATGAGGAAATGGTGCCCAAGGCCACACAGATGGTGGCTGAGTCAGGACTGGGACACGAGACCAGGGGTGCACATGAAGTCTACACCTGCCACATGCCCATATATGCTGATTATTCAGCCTCTGAAAGTAAAGGTGTGTGTTGAGGTGAGCACCACCCATTGAAAGCCCCCAGGAAGAATGGCAGAATGAGGATCGTTGGGGAGCAGAGCTTTGTGGGCAGCTGGTGTTCACTGGTGCAGGAGCCAATGATGGCTGGGAAGAAGACATTCTGCCCCAAACGTTAGCCCACCTGTCTGCCCAGGCAAGTGGCACTTCTGCTGACGCTGGCTGCTGGCTGCTGGCAGGGACAGCCGCATGTCCTCCGAAGTACGCGAGATTCCTTCACAGTCAGGCCAGGTGCTACCTGGAGTCAGCTTTCACCTACGCGGTGTGTATCTAGTGCACAGGTGTATCAGTTTGCTTGCTTATAAATGAAAAGGGGGATTTGGACCTGACGGATAGGAGGCTCCTTAGAACAACTCGACATCATGATCCTTTAGGATCTGGAAATACAAGGGAACCGAGGATTCTGAACACTGAGGCTGTTGTTTAAAAAAAATAAAGTAATTTGGGAAGCGGAGGCAGGAGAATCGCTTGAACCTGGGAGGTAGAGTTTGTGGTGAGCCTAGATAGTGCCATTGCACTCTAGCCTGGGCAACAAGAGCAAAACTCTGTCTCAAAAAAAAAAAAAAAAAAGGAATTACCCAAACTCCCTGGCCTGGGGCAACAGATAGGATAAGGGAATGGAGTCATGGAGTCTTATAAGCTGGTGATTGAGGGAAAGACGGAGTGAAAGGAAATCTAAAGGAGAAGAGAATTGCTTAGACCTGAGTACTTTTTCTGTGCTGAGTACTTTTTTGTAGAGCAGAGAGGGAACTGAAGGGGAATAATTCACTGGCTTTATCCTTAGAAGTTGGGATTTAATGTACTCTATAAGTGCTTTGACTTCCACAGAGTACATTCTGTGGGCTTTAAGCCCTTGAAGAAGGCAGGTAGCTTTGTTTTAGTCACTGTATTTTACCTATACCTCACTTATACTCTATTTAAATAAATACTTACATTTCTTTTTATTCTTCAAGTAGAAATTAACCTGCATACAAAAGTTGCTCAATGAGCTAACAGAATAATTTGGCAAGTTCTACTCATAAAACCCTTGATGATTGGCTTGTCTTACTGCACTGAGAAAGCAGAAAAATGATTCTGTGATTTTCTTCTCTTGTCTGGCAAAAATATAGGACAAGAGTTCTCTTTGGACCCACATTCCTATCTTCTGTCCACAGCCCCAGCAGAACAGCCACTACTCCTTGTTGCAGATTGGTTGGTCTTTAAGGGAGGCTCCCACCATAACTATTTACCAGTGTTGAATGACAGTTCCATTAAGTATGTCACATGGTTCCCAATGGTACTTTTATGTTACAGATGTCATCTTGCAGTTTAGTAGGACCAGAGCTCCATGGGGGCAGGTACCTGGGTGGAATCTCTCCTGCCTGTCCTGTCTTGAGATACCTACACGGAAGGCTGGCACACGCCCGAGATTAGACTGTCAACCTCACACCGGACACACACCTCCTCTGCTGGCCCCAGTATTGGATGGCAGTGGTTGCCAAGCAACCAGGTTATCTGCACTCTCCCGGTTACTGAGCAGATACAGAAGACAGGCCTGCAACTCTCATTGTAGGGTACAGCTGGGAGATACCCCAGGGGGCTGGAACTTGAACTCTGCTGCCACCAGCTAATCCTCCCCTGTGACCTAAGGGTCTCTGCCTTCTGGATCTGTGAGTCTGCCTTTTGAGAATGGAAACAACCATCTAAATAGATGAAATGATAATAGATTCAAGCTTCAATAAAACGGAGCCCCAACCTCATGGGCAAGGAAGTCTGCTAAATCCAGAGGAGTTTAAACTGATTTATACCTAAATTTTCTATCTTCATTTGTACGCAAAAGCCCTTTAAGAGGCAATTGATTATTTTACAGTGCATCAGAGAGCTCAGAAAAATGGATTTACTCTCGAGGTCAGAAAGGCACTGTGCGCATCTCTGCCTCCCAGCCTGTGGAACCGGCGAGTTAGCGTGTCAGTGGTCTCCCTGTAATCACTCAAACCTCGCTGTGCTGCTGTGGATCATTGAGGGCCTCTCATGGCCACATTCTGTTGTAAATCATCAACGAGTACTAAAAAGTCTCTACAGCAAGTGAAGTATGCAGAGGAGACACCAAAGTATTGACCAGTATGAGAAGGCTCCTACGTTTCAGGAACTTATAATTATGGTTGGGAGTAGGAGGACGCAGACATTCTGGAATAGAGGTGTCCAAACATTTTCCATGCACAGTGCCTTTAATGTCTCAGCAATTTTCTTGATGGTGCTCCTAGGCCAAAAGAAAGACTTCACGAGTTCATAGAGTAAGTGACTAAGTCCAAACAATAAGTATTAATCCTAATAACTTAGCAGGTGCTTTAAAAAATAACTCATAAATCGAAAGAGTAAAAACATTTTTGTTTTATTTTAGTTTAGTTTAGTTTAGCTTAGTTTTTGAGATGGAGTCTCACTCTGTCACCCAGGCTGGAGTGAAGTGGCGTGATCTCGGCTCACTGCAACCTCCATCCCCGGGTTCAAGTGATTCTCCTGCCTCAGCCTCCTGAGTAGCTGGGCTTATAGGCGCATGCCACCATACCCAGCTAATTTTTGTATTTTTAGTAGAGACGGAGTTTTGCCATGTTGGCCAGGCTGCTCTTGAACTCCTGACCTCGGGTGATCCACCTGCCTCGGCCTCCCAAAGTGTTAGGATTTACAGACGTGAGCCACTGCGCAGTACCAATATGTTTATTTTGTTCTTAATCACAGTGTTAATGGTGTTAAAAAATAAATGTAGGCCCATTAACATTTTAAAGCGCTTACTTGAACATTCAGCAATTCATGAGTCCAGCAGTACCAGACCAAAAGTGGTTCAGTGCTCCACCCAGGGGTGTGAAGAAGCAAGTCAAAGTGGAAAGTCCCTATTAGATGTTAGTTGGCATTTCTAATTGGTTAAGCTTCAGTTTCATTTTACTGTTTACATAGGGTTGGGTTTTGATTTGCTTACATAGAAACCCAAGGCGTGAGAGCCATCTCAGCCTAATGGCCTTCCCATTAATTATTTTAACAATGAGATGTGTATGCCTATGGGGCACTGCACTTCTCAAACTTGGAATCAGATAGAACTCTGCCACCCACAGTTCCATCCCACACCTTGATTTTTTCCTAGTGTATGTTTGTTCTAATCACAGCAACTGCCAAAAACTCAGCTTCACAGAGATAGGCTGTCACTGAAAGGAATCTTGTGTAACTCAGTGTTGAAACTGGGAACTTTCTCCAGTTAGCAGTTCCTGCAGTATCCAATAGATGTCAAGTAACAGAATGTTTCCCTCTAAATTTCAAAACACACTGCAGTTACCCTGAGTTCACCATGGGACCTCTGGATGCCTTAGGTTGGGAACCATGGTTCTAAAGCACAGAAAGTAGTTGTGGAAAATACAAGATTTGATGGCAACCTGGGTGACCCCCCATCTTTTCTCCAGTAGGTTCTTAATAAATGTTTGTGGGATTACAAAGGAATATAAATCATTCTATTACAAAGATACATGCATGCATATGTTCATTGCAGCACTGTTCACAATAGCAAAGACATGGAATCAACCCAAATACCCATCAGTGATAAACTAGATAAAGAAAATGTGGTACATATACACCTTCGAATACTATGTAGCCATAAAAAGGAATGAGATCATGTCCTTTGCAGGGACATGGATGGAGCTGGAAGCCATTATCCTCAGCAAACTAACACAGGAACAGAAAACCAAACACTGCATGTTTTCACTTATAAGTGGGAGCTGAACAATGAGAACACATGGACACAGGAAGGGGAACAACACACACTGGGGCCTGTTGGGGAGTAGGGTTGGGGGAGGGAGAGCATTAGGAAAAATAGCTAATGCATGCTGGGCTTAATACCTAGGCGATGAGTTGATAGGCTCAGCAAACCACCATGACACACATTTACCTATGTAACAAACCTGCACATTCTGCACATGTACCCTGGAACTTAAAATAAAATTTTTTTTTAAAAGTCTGTGGGGTTAAATGGTTACATGAAAATCCACAATTCCAACTTGTATTAGTCTGTTCTCACACTGCTAATAAAGACATACCTGAGACTGAGTAATTTATAAAGGAAAGAGGTTTATTGACTTACAGTATCACATGTCTGGGGAGGCCTCACAATCACGGTGGAAGGTGAAGGAGAAGCAAAGTCACATCTTACATGGTGGCAGGCAAGAGAGTGAGTGCAGGGGAACTTCTCTTTATAAAACCATCAGATCTCATGAGATTTGTACATTATCATGAGAACAGCATGGAAAAGAACCCCCCCCCCCATGATTCAATTACCTCCCACTGGGTCCCTCCCATGATACCTGGGAATTATGAGAGCTACAGTTCAAGATGAGATTTGGGTGGGGACACAGCCAGACCATATCACAACATGATTTCTTCACCATCATATTTGACTGGCTGCCAGATTGCATTCAATATTGTAATATATTATAATCAAGATAAGCACAGATACACAGAGCCAGATTATGGGGGTTTGGATCCTGGCTCAACCACTTACTAGGATGTGAACTTGGGCCTTGACTCTTGAGGGTTTGGCTTTGTGTGTGAAATTGGAAGGACAATAACCTCTTCAGGTTTTGGGAGGATTCAGTGAGATGATTCCTACAAAGCACTTCGCAGGTACTTGGTGGTAGTTACTGCTTCAGTCAGCAAGTTTGTGTGTGTGTGTGTGTGTGTGTGTGTGTGTGTGTGTGCGCGCGCGCGTGTGTGTTTTATTTCTCTTACTCCAGGGGGCACTTTTAGACTTCAGTGTGATTGAGCATGGTGACCTGTCTCAGGAGGAGGTGTTCATGAGAGGAGGGTGGCTGAGGGCTTGGGGGAGGAGGAGGGGAGGGGATAAACCACCTGTCCACACCCCTTCCCACTGGAGCACAAAGCAAGCCACACTTGGGCCTCTGTCCTTGTTCTCTGCATCTGACACACCTTTAGGGCATTGCAGTGTCTGAGACATCTAGACATCTCCCACATGCTCCACCCAAGTCCTGTGCAAATGTGATGAGTGGCTGATTGTCCAGGAGCCCCAGGCCAGACTTGTTCCAGCACTGTGTCCATGCAGAACCCTTTCCTGGGAATCAGTGAGTCCTTTCCATATGGAAGCATCCCCAGGATGTAGAAGGGAACCTTTTCAGCTCCGCTGGGACCCTTTTCTCAGGGGCTGGAGCCTTTATTACCTGTATCCTGGCCTCTTCTAGGGCCTCACTGTATTAGGTGGAAGAGAAAATATGAAAACTTAACTCCTAGCCCATTTCCTTGTCTGTAAAATGGGGCTGCTGCCACCTGACATCACCAAGCAGGCTGTGGGCTTCCAGCTTTTCAGATTTTGAATGAGTGTTGCTGGGGCCAACACAGATTCAGGTGCACCCAGTTTTCTGGGAGTTCTTGCCAACTGGGTTTCTGTCTTCAAAAACAGTCTGCATTATTTTTGCATATTGTTGCAAAAGAAAACAAAGCACCAGGACTCAGCCCAGCCAGCACCAGGGGCAGCATGACTGCTCTCCACCCCCAGGAGTGAGCAGTATTTCAGCCTTTCAGCCTTGGATAGCTGGGCTTGCTGAAACCCCCATCTCATTCAGCTCAGTGGTTGTCATTGGGTCCCTAGGTGAAACATTAAGCACTGTCCCTTGGAGATAAGAGGTTGTAGGAGGGAAGAAATCTGCTGGCTTCTGGGCTGCAGGAGGAAGCCTGGGCAATCTGGGGTCAGATGCTTTGTAAACATTCCCTTACACTCCCCACTTCTGTGTCTCACCTTGCCCATTTCTGAGGTTTCTGAGCTCTGTTGATAAGACGAATTTCCCAGCGATCCTCAGCCTAGTGAGGATGGTAGCATAGACCTATGAAAATATCAGCTTGCAACCAAAAGTGAGGTTTTGTGATTTGGAAAGAGGAGTTTTAATCTACAGCCTTGCATAGCTAGCTAAGCCTTCCTTATTTCCTGGGAGCAGTTAATAATGTGTGTAGCTAAGTGCTCAGGCAACCTCTACCCTCCATTTTTCCAGCCTTGACTCCCTGTGGCCACCCCAGCCAGCCAGCAATGCCAACACAAGTCTCCGCCAGGGGTGTGTGTATGTCATAAATTGAACTTGACATTCGCTAAGCTGCTCCCGCCAGCACCCCATCATGATATTCACGTGGGCAGATCTGGGGGCTGCAGTTTTGCATTTTGTTTTCATTCATAAGAGCATCTGCCCAGGGATCCCTGGAAGAGAGCCCTACAGTAAGTGTATTCTTTGGTTTTATTTGTAACTACATCTCAGTAATAACTTTCTTCTTGCAGTAGGCCTATTCCTTCCACAAACTTTCCCATATACTATTCATTTCATACTGTCAGCAGTCTTAACAAAGCTGGCAGGACCAGATATCAGCTCTGTTTCACAGACGGAATGGAATGAGTGGCAAAGCCAGATCTAGAACCCACGTAGCTTTTGAGTCTGTATCTTTCCCATCCCCTGTGCTGCCACGCACTTACCTCCCTGCCACCAACTTGTTTTGAATTCTTGCAGCTCTAAGAGCTGACCTGTGTAGTTTTTATTTGGGTCTGTTATTGACTTGAGCAGACATTTATGAGCACTTTTCATGGGTCAGGACAGTGCCCATCTGTCCTTTCATCCTCAAAGCAGCCTGTTGAAGAAGGTGTTATTATTCCAGTTTTACAGGTAAGTGAACTAAGCTTCTTTGGGCCACATGGCTTGCAAATGCCAGGTGAGAATTTCAATCCACGTCCCCTGACCCTCATTTCACTTCCCTGTCTGACAAATCACACTAGATCTTGGGCTGCTTTACTAATAGGCACTCAGAGCTTCCTCCATGTCCAAATCAATCTTTTCAGAAAGGGGTCCAGAAAGCTTGGAAACCTGTTGTACTCAAGAGGCATTTAAATTGCCAACAACAGAAACTACCTGGCTGATTTTAGCAGAAGGGAATTATTTGAAAGGACCTTAGTTCCTCACGGAAATGTATGAGAGGCTGGGGAAGTCAGCTTGAGAAACACAAGGAACAAAGAAAGGCTTGGCAGCTGCAACCACAGTCCAGATCACACCAGAGAACCCATCAGGTGTAGACAGAGTCGGTTGCTTGCAGTGGTGCTGGTGCTGGGTGATAGAAGCCGTCATTGCATCACGGGCATCACAGCCCTAGAAACTAGATGCTGCTACCCCCACTGCCAGCACAGATCTCCACCTTCCTCCATTCTCATGTACCAGGCCAGAGTGGTGTCCCTGGTTGGCCAAGCCTGGCTGTGTGCCCATGGCTTTGCTGCAAAGGCTTCTGGGAAAGCAAACAGCTGGCGTGCCTTCTATGGGGGGAGGCTGTACCACCCACCAAGACTCTCAGGTGGGAAATTTCCCAATCACAGCAAGGAGATTCAGGGGCTGGGCAGCTCCCCAAAATCACACATCTCTACTACCTTTCCTCCCCCAAACACACAAACACTCAATTATTGCACTGTAGGTTACTTGTCAGTTTTTACGATTACCATCTTCCCACCACTCCCTGGGCCTTGGCACAGACTGCGTCTACCATTGGAGCTGGTGCAGGTGAAAGTGCTCTGGGCAGTAGCACGTTAATCATGTTTACCACCTGCTGTGGGTGGAGCCCTGGAGCTGGTTTGCCTCCTGGCTGCAGGAGGGGTTTATTGCCTCTGTTAGGCCACACCAGCAGCAGATGGGGTTCTCATAAGCTGATTGTTTCCCTCTGCTTCTGGCTGAAGCAGGAGGATCTCTTGTTTCTTGGGGAGGAAGCATGGAGCACTGGGCTGCTTTCCTTTCTTGGGCAGGCTTTGGCCACTCTAGGTGTTTTTATCCCTCCAAGGACATGCGTTCCTAGGCTGCAGGAGGTGGGGTTAATGTGATCCCGCAGTGGCTTTCCTGCTGGCACCTAGGTTCATGGAAGTGGAGTATGTGGCATGCCCATCACTGCCTGGTTCCTTTGGCTGAGATGAGAGGTGCCCACTTGCGGAAGGCTGGGGCCCTGGGAGGACTTCCTTTATTCAGCTGTGGGAATCCTGTAGGAACCCCAGCACTATAATGGCTGGTTTCCCCATCCTCTCTCTTTCTCGATAATAATCTTTCAGTTGTCCCAGCAGGTTCACTGCCATGGATATGGAGCAACCAGCTATTCGTCTTCAAAGAGAAGAGCCACTGTGTTCTCCCATGTCAAGCCTCCAGCCCTTCTTGCTTTCCAGTTCTTTCATCTTCAAGCTCTAGACTCTGCCCTCCTTTCATTGATTTCCCAAATCTTCTCAATACAATGCTGGGGTCTGCTGGGGGCGGAGCCTGAGGGGTTGGCACTTCCTTTATTAACCCATCTGGTAGTTCTGAGGCTCAGTCGTTTCATCCTATCCCCCATTCCACTCATGTGAAAAATGGAAAACACGGGGCTTTGGGACCACAGAACTGAATTTGCACCCTGGATCTGCACATATCTCTGACCTTGGGCAATCATAATCTCTAAGCCTTAGTTCCCCATTTTCTACAAATGGGGGTGATGGTGCTGGAGTGGTGCTTAAGTGAGCCAAAGGGAAGCCCCTGATGCCAAGTGGATACATACAATTTTAGCTCCTCTTCTCTTCCTTGTGCCCTTTTCTGCCCCAAGACTGAGGCTCTGGCCCTGCTCTGCACCTGTTTCTGTTGCTACTGCCTACAGGGAGCCCAGAGGTGGGGACACAATCTCATTGATAACAAGGGACTGAAAATAGATCTTAAAAACCCTAGAGCACCTCACTGAGTCTTTCTTTTTGATGGAGTAAAAACTACTGAAGGAACTCAGAAACAAAGAGAGTTTTGGAAGGAATGTAGACATATGTCTGAGAATACTTAAGACTCTTCCTCTGTGGGGGTTTCTAGAGCTTGCAGGCAGGTGACACAATGAGTGGACGGGGCTGGAGAAACTGTGGGAGGTAGAATTCTAAGAGGACCTTTGCCACTTGGTGTTACTTCTGTGATTAGTTCTACGGCAAAAAGGGGATCATCTGGGTGGGCCTAATCTAATCACAGGAGCTCTGGAAAGGTGGCAAATTCTCTCTCACTGGTGGCAAAAGAGGAAGTCCAAGGGCTTCCAAGCATGAGAAGCATCCAACTTCCACATGCTGTTGCTGGCTTGAAGATGGCAGGGCACACAGCAGGAAAGTGGGCTCTGTAGAAGCTGACAGCCAGCAAGGAGATGGGGACCTCAGTCCTATAGCCACAAGGAACCAAGTTCAACCAACAGCCTGAATGAGCTTGGAAGCAGATTCTTCTCCAGAATGATTGTGTGAAACCCTAATCAGGGATCCAGCTGAGCCCACCTGAACTTCTGTTCTAGAGAACTGAAAAGCAGTAAATGGGTGTTGTTTTAAGCTGCTCAGTTTGTGCTGGTTTGTTATAGCAGCAATACAAAACTAATACAGGACAGCAATGCACTAGAGACTGGTGAGGACTGTGGTATACTGGAGATGTACATGCCATCTAACTGTGGAAGCCACTAGATAGCTACAACTGAGTGTTGTCATGCAGGAGGCTCTGCAGAAGAAACCCAATGTTTCTGGATTTTTGCATTTTTTGAGACCAAAACTTAGGACTGTGTGAAATATATTGGCTTTTAAAAAAAAAAAAAAAACATATCTGCTGGGTAAATACACTTGTGATCCCTTCACTAAAGCACAACCCACCTTGAATAGAGAATTTCCTACATTTATTCTGAGATGTTGCCTAGTTTAAAGTATCTTGCCTTCCCACTGTACACACAGTGAGGATAGTGTTTCTCTTGAAGTATTGACTTGCAATCAACAAGGAGATTCTGAGGTTTTGTTGGGGACTAAGTGAGGGCTTTGGGAGATGATAGGAGGTTCCCAGCCTTTTGGATGTGTGATGAGGTTTCACGCCATGCTTGGGAAGAGAAAGCATAGATTCCTTTATTTCTCAACAGCCAGGCTGACCGCCATTCTAGGCCTCCATCCTCTTAGGTGGGTGGGTAGGAAATGGAATTGTAGTTCAACCCAGCAATCTCACCCAACCCAATCATTTGTGTTTTCTTGTATCTCAGCCTCTTTTACATGACTCTGGTGACCCAATGTTTGGCATTCTGCTTTTTCCTCTTCCACTCCAGAAATTGGCTCTTTCTATGGGGGTAGTGTGGCTTATGAGACTCTGGCTCTGTCCCTTGGATCCAGGGGGTGCACTGTGAATCCTGGCTTGTCCAAGCGTGGAGTGGTGGTGTAGGCTCAAGAATGGCTGTTCTAGGCCACTCTCTAGAATAGCGACCACCGAGGTACAGTAGTTGTCATTTGGCTATTTTGGACCAATATAGCAGGACTCAACTGCTGGAGTTCACAGTCCTGGCCATTTTCCTCTGTCCGCAAGTCCCTGACCACTGTCACCACTGTATCCAACTCCAAACCTCTGTTCTCCCATGGGACCTCTTGCCCCCGTCCCACCTCCCTGCCTCCTTAGACTCTGGTCTGTATGTGCCACTGACATGAAGGGGAGGACTGCCCCAGGCCTCCCTGCATGGGAAGCTGGCCACTAGCTTGGAAGGTCTCTTGGTTCTACATACCTACCTGTTGTTTCTAGACCTCTACCCTCAGTCTCCCTTGGGCTGGAAGTAGCAAGCTTTTCTTTTCTTTCCTGGGGAATGCCCCTGCTGGAAGGAGCTGGCTAGTGACTCCCCAATATCATATCTGCATTCTCAACTGTAGCCTCAAATATAAGCTGTAGAGATGGAGATGTATGGGATTTACCAATAAGGTAACAGAAATTCGAAAGTGTTTCAGGAGTAAATGCTCATTACACATGTGATAGTTTCCGTCATTAGATGACCAAATGCACACGAAGCAATCTGAGAAAATCCCCGTGCTAATGGGGGTTCCTGGGCAATAAGAGGGCCCAGGCAACAGGCTTGAGTCATGGGGGACGGTTCACAAAGGGGTTGGTGGGATAGGGGCTTGGCCTTATGGGCGGGTTGAATGTAGAAAGCACTTGAGCAATTAATTCAGTTCAACACTAAGTCCCATCAACATCAGCCATCCTGACTTCCTTTCACTGGCTGTAACCCTCTTTCCAAGCCCACTGATAGCCCCAGGAGCTTTAACACAGGAGCTGAATATGAGTCACTCTGACCCATTTCCGTTTCAGGTGTGAAATTAGGATGGAAACTTAATCAAATTGCCCTGAGACTTTAGATGTCACCCAGCAGAACATCGGGCCTCCCATCCCCACCGCCCTGGTTTCTGAAGCTCACTGCAGTCAGTCGCATGATTGTCTTCAGAGCCCTCCTTTTGTGCTGTGTGCTGCAGACATTGCATATATGTGCACAGGCAAGTGTAGCCAGTAAAAATAGGAGCGTGTATCTCTGGGTGACATGGGTGCAAAGAATAACCTAGCCAGCCTTAAGAGAAGGGTGATCAGAAGGCAGCAAGGGTGCAAAAGTTCAGATCAGACCCAAAGTACGACTTGATGGGAGGAATAAGTCCTAGCGTTCTATAGCACTGTAGGGTGACTGTAATTAGCAACAATTTATTGTATATTTTCAAATAGCTATAAGGAGAATACTGAATGTTCCCAACACAAAGAAATCATAAAGATTTGATTTCTTTGGCATGGGTGCAGTGGTTCATGCCTGTAATCCCAGCACTTTGGGAGGTCAAGGTGGGCAGATCACCTGAGGTTGGGAGTTTGAGACCAGCTTGACCAACATGGAGAAATCCTGTCTCTACTAAAAAATACAAAATTAGCTGGGCTTGGTGGCACATGCCTATAATCCCAGCTACTTGGGAGGCTGAGACAGGAGAATTGCTTGAGCCCGGGAGGCAGAGGTTGCAGTAAGCTGAGATTGCACTGTTGCACTCCAGCCTGGGCAACAAAAGACAAGAGTGAAACTTGATCTCAAAAAAAAAAAAAAAAAAAAAAAAGATTTGAGATGATGAATATGCTAATTACCTTGATCTGATCACTATACATTATATGTATTGAAACATCACTATACCCCAGCAATATGTATAATTATTACGTGTCAATTAAAAAAACTTATTTTTGGCTGGGCGTGGTGGTTCACACCTGTAATCCCAGCACTTTGGGAGGCTGAGACAGGCAGATCACTTGAGGTCAGGAGTTCAAGACCAGCCTGGCCAACATGGAGAAACTCTGTCTCTACTAAAATTACAAAAATGAGCCAGGTGCATTACAGGTGCATGCCTGTAACCCCAGCTACTAAGGAGACTGAGCAGGAGAATGGCTTGAACCTGGGAGGCGGAGGTTGCAGTGAGTTGAGATTGTACCACTGCACTCCAGCCTAGGCGATAGAGTGAGACTCTGTCTCAAAAAAAAAAAACAAACACACACACACACACACACACACACACACACAAAAAAAAAACATATTTTTAAAAAGACTAGGCTGGCTTTGTAGCCAGACAATCTGGGTTCAAATTCCAGATTTGACTCTACTACTATCGAGTTGTGGAATCAGAGGCAAGTTGCTTACCCCTCAGAGGCTCAGTTTCCACATCTGTAAGATGGGAACAGGACAAGTACCTGGTTGTGTAGACTAAAACATGAAAATGCATGCAAAATACATTGTGCCTCCTCTGGCACAAAGTAAGCACTCAATAAATGACTGTTGTTGCTATTTGAAATTGTACCATTTGTGCTATGAGCAGATCAGACTAGTCTTTTGAGTTGGGAAGTTGTATTGATGTTAAGAACTTTCATGGGGATTGAAAATCGGGGATTTAGTCTCTTCAAATGGCCTCTTTTAATGTATATGGAGGAAGGGACAGAGGGAAGAGTGAGATTTAGACAAGTCAATCCTGATGATACTTCCACTTCTTTTGCAGTTTCTAACTTCAAAAAAAAAAAAAAAGCGTAGTGTGTGTGTGTGTGTGTGTGTGTGTGTGTGTTGGGGGAGCAGGAAGGAGATTAGCAGGAAGAAAAATAAAAGGGGAAAAAGAGCTGGGCTAAATGGAGTGTTGCAGTAAGTGAGTGAGAGAGTGAAAGTGACTAAATGTCCCATGTCTCAGGGTGCAGGGATGGAGGGATTATAAATAGCTCTGTTCATATGCTTAGTTCTGTTGAAACCAGAGATTTGTCTTTGACCTGCCTTTTTTCTTTTTCTTTACTCTAAACTCCAATTCTGCTTAATCTTTCTTGAATCACAGATTATTTTAAGAATCTAATGAACCTCTCTCAGAAAACTGTGCATCAGGATATACACACAACAGTTTTTATAAACAGTCCAGTATTAGCAGTTTCCCAGATTCCACATTAAACACCATTAATCTTATTTTAGACCATTTTTTATACCCGAACCAAACTCTGAATGATGAATAGGCAAGCTCCTATGCATGCTTCAGAACCCAGCTCAAACGTTCCCTCTCCAGCAAAACTTTCTTCCATGCCCAAATCGGTTGGGCAGCCCTTCCTTCATGGTTTCATTGTTTATCACTTTCTGAGATCTGCATTCCATAATCACGCCTTTCCTGATTGGTCTCCTCTACTAGACTGTGAGCTCTTATTCATCTTTCTTACTCATTTTTTGGTCCCAGTGCCTAGCACAGAAATGTTGAAGGAACAAAGTATAAATGAAGATAATGAGTTCCCTACTTGAAATGCAAAGCAAGCCGTCTCTACCTTCTGCAAATGCGAGGAAAAAATAGGAAGCCATATCTGATGGGACTTCTTTTGGGGGCTCTGCCAATCTGCTGGGACAGCTGCAAGCCAGCCTGCAGAACTAGCATCCGTTTTGGCTTCTAGAAGATAAGGGGCTGTCAACACAAGTGGAATGATGGGGAGGAACTCGTGGAAAGTAGCATTGCCTCTGAGATTTCCACCATGATTAGATCAGGGATTGTGTGATTGGAAGTGTGCTCACGGGGAGGGATGCTTGAGGTTCCAGGCTGATTATGTTAGGGAACAGCCCTGGTCCCTGGGTGGCCAGGTGTCAGCCATCCTTCAGGTACCCAGGGATAACTTCCCTGATGAAGGGCAGCAACGGGTACCTGCTCTGTGGGACAACAGAGCTCCATCTTTCCCTAGAGGTGTGAATGGGAAGCCCCTTGCCCAGACTCCCAGGGGTACCATTTGGATCAAGTGTCAGCCCCACCAAAGCTCTGATCTGTCCTGAGATAGGAGCAGAGACTCAGCCACAACTTGGAGACCCTGAGCTTGGAGGATATAAGGGGAGCAGCTGCCTGAAGGGCTTTAGGGTCTCTGGGCTGGAAACTCTTCCCTATAGCACAGATTTCTCAGGAGGGCCATGAATATTTTGGCTCGGTTACAGAGAACACATTCAGCAGGCTTCGGAGGGAGCTGATTTTCCATTTCCCCATGAGGGATCTCAGGAGGGCAGTAAAGCTTCTTCTGAAATTATTTAACTTAAAAGCTTCTGATGAAGATCAGGCACACTGCCTTGCACATAGCACTCTAACCCGTCAGAAGTTTCCCACGGATCTCATTTTGCTCCTAATTACAGCACGGCAACATAGGTTGGAAGGTATCTCTCAGCTCCACCATTTTAAAGACAGATAGCTTCGCTTTATTTGCTGCTGAGAGGATATTGTCTTAAAATTTTAAGTTGGTTCAAGCCCCAAAGCCTTCAAAAGACCCAGCTTTAGCTCTTTGTTCTCACACAAAGGGCTGCCTGGTCTTTGTGGAGTGAGTTGTGAAGGCCTCCCCAGAAGACTCAGGCCAGTCCTCGTGTGCTTTCTGCCACTCACCCGTGGTCACACTGCATCACATTGACAGATGCGGCAACCCTCCAAGACAGCCATTTCTGGATGCAGGGACAGAGCCCTCAGGGGGGCGAGCTGAGCATGGAGCCGTGGCGTGATGGTTCACAGTCCTGGATGGATGCAGCAGAGTGACCCTCACCCATCATACCCGCATGTGCACAGAAAGCCCCTCCCGTTCCTCTACCACCATTGAGAGCACCAGGGGACTTTGCCAGACCTCTCCCACCACTTGGGAAATGTTTGGGGCTTGGCAAAACACAAAACATACTTTCTCAGGCACTTCTTGTTTTCATGGTTTTCATTTTTCACTGCCTGTTAATCTGGAGTGAAATAGAGTCCATATGTTCCAAGTCCCTTTGCCTAATTCTCTGCAGCATGATTTTTATCTCTGAAATTGTTTGAAGTCCCAAAGTTTTTGATCTTTTTGCCTCAGAAAGTGGGCACCACATTTTGCCACAAGAGGATGTAAACCTGAGACCTAAAGAACGTGTGTTGGCCTGGTGCTCCCAGAGGTGTGTGGACTCAGCATGGGACAAGTGGCTCCCTTGTCTTTTCAGGGAAGTTGTTCACCTAGGAGTAAGAAAGTGCAGATGGCCTCCTTAGGCTGTGCACAGTGACCTAGGGCAGTATTCTTTTCTCATGGCAAAAGGGGGAAAGCCTTTGTAGGTTTCTCCATTAGGAAATTAGCCATGGCTGTAAAGGGCTTATAAGAAAACAGGGCCTCTGCCTCTGCCTGAACCCCTCATTTTCTGTCTTCCCGGTAGAATCTACTTACCCTCAAGTCAAAGAAATGTCATAGCCACGTGCTTAGAGAAGAGTGCAAGACTGCCTCTACTTATTTCCTACATTAAATGGGAGAGAGTGCTTTTCTCTAAAGAGCCATTTTGGTGCTTTCTCCTATGCTAAGACAGATGATTGTCATGAGAAGATCAAATACCTGTGGTATTTGCTGGAGAGCCGAGTCCAAAGCCCAGGCTGACAGACAGGCAGTTTGCAGAACAGGTACCTGTGTGCTTTCTTCGGGAGAAATCCCAGCATACAGTGAATGGCATCTGACACACCCAGGATTGTGGGGTATGTCAACCACACACTCAGACAATGCAAGTTCCCTTTACGTTGCACGTGGTTTTAGGGATGAGAGGAATGCTCTGTGCCACACTAATCCACCTACACACATACATACATACACACACACACACATAAACACATATACACACACACACAGTGTCTGACTAGAAGTCTATACTTAGAATTGTGCTCCTTTAGCAAGAACCTTTTGATAGCGAAGATTTGGGTGGGGAAAAGCTGGAAAAAGAAAAAACCTGAGGATCTTGAGGATCTCAGAGTGGGCTTTTCAGAAGCCCACCGAGAGAGGTAGGGTAAGGGAAGACTGTCCAGAATGCAGAGAAAACAAACTTTGCTTAGCAATTCGTGAAGGGTCTGCTGGCTCTGCGTTTTGGGTTCCTTTTGGAACTGGAAGGATTATCTTATTTTTAACAATATGTCCCAAAGCCTTTAAGAATTTATTGTGAATGTATGATGATGCCTGGGCCTCAGAACCGGAGGGGATCCGTGCATGGGCTTCAGGTTGTGGCAGAGTTTTGTGCATCTGTCTGAGTTGCATGTTTTGGAGAGAGAGTCCACAGCTTTCAGTAAGAATCATAAAGAGGTCTTGAGCAAATGGAGCAAGAAGACCTGGCAACAGAGCCCGGGCTTCTGAAGCTTTCAAGATTCAGGGTCAGCAGAACCTTCTACCAGCTCTCTGGGGCTCAGGAACTGGGATGGGCCCATGAGAGCTGGGACCTGCCAGCTCCCCTAGACTTTGGAGGACCCTTTTTCCATTATTGTGAGTGCTGTCCTTCAAAGGTCTTCCTGTCTCTTTGTGGATTTTTTTAATTAGCTTTTTTTTTCTGACCATAAAATTACAAATTTAGAAAATATGGAAAAATGTGAAGAAAATAAAATCAATCATAATCCTACTAATCCAACCACTCCTACTAATCAGAGTAAACCTCCTAGGGTTTTTCTTTTTCTTTTGTCATTTCAGAGAGGGTTGAGATCATATATGTCTATGAATAGAGCCCTTTTCATTTAACATTACATCATAATCATCTTACTTGCCATTGAAAAGTCTCCATAAGCATCATTTTCTATGGTTGCACAATATTCTATTATATGGCTGCATGACAGTTGACTTAACCCTTTTTCTGTTGGGTATTTGCGTTGCTCATAGTTGTTTTGTTTTTTGTTTTGAGACAGGGTCTCACTGTCACCTAGGCTGGAGTGCAGTGACACAGTCATAGCTCACTGCAGCTTTAAACTCCTGGGCTTAAGTGATGCTCCCACCTCAGCCTCCTAAGTAGCTGGGACTACAGGCATGCATCACCACGCCTGGCTTTTTTTAAGAAATGGGATCTTGCTATGTTGTCCAGACTGGTCTCAAACTCCTGGCCTCAAGTGATCTCCCCAAAACTCCAGAATTATGGGCGTGAAGCCACTGCATCCAACCTCTGTTCCCAGTTTTTTGCTATAATAAATAATGCAGTCAAAACTATCTTTGGGCAAGAAGCCATGCTTGCATATTGGATTAGTTCTTTATGAGAAATTCCTAGAAGTCTCGTTTGACTTTTGAAGATATCGTGTGTTAAGATGTTGCCGAGACCCATCTGTAAAGCATGAATGTTGCAAAAGACTGTGGGCACAAAGGTGGGGCAGGCAACAAGGTTTGCTGGGTTCCTGCTGCACACTGGATGCACCACAGGGTGCTGTGGGTATTAATGGAGACTTAAGCATTAAACAACCCAGCCCTTATCCTTGAGGGCCTTACTGTATAATGTGGAGCCATATCATATATATTAGGTTGGTGCAAAAGTAATTGCAGTTTTACCATTAAAAAGAGGGCACCACAATTACTTTCAGTGGTAAAACCACAATTACATTTGCAGCAACCTAATAAATAGCCTGAAGGGATGTGTGTGTCTCAGATCCCTGGGGAATCCACATGTGAGTCTCAGGGTGGAGTTGCATTTTTGTATATCATGTCATGTTCATTTTACATCTTCTGGAGCTTTCATCAAAATCTCTTTATCTATGGAGCTGCAAAGAATTCCATGCAATCATTGTTTTGGGTGTGTAGGGAAGGGGTGTGGATCATTTTTCTCTAATTATTCTTCTTTTATTATTTTATTTTATAGTTTTTATAATAGAAAAAAATAAAAACCTTTTCTTAAGTGCCATTAATATGACCAATAGCGTATACTAAGCAGATGGCAGTCAGGATCCTGCTTTTGGGGACCTTGAAATAGGGTGTAGTAGAGGCCAGAGCCTACACCCAATGGGTGTGAGGCAGATTTTGGCAGTATTTATCACCTGTCCCTGCAGTGACCTACCGCTGCATTTACATATAAATCTGTTCCTGGTAGCATGAGCTGGTGTTAGATGAGCCTTATGCCTACGGGATCATATTGTCAGAACATAATGTTACACAGGTGTGTGGCACTTTTGGCGATACAAACCAATGTTATCTTATCTCTCTGCCGGAGCCTCAGTCCTCATCTGGTTGCTAAGCACTAAAAGAGCTTCTCACTGCTATTTCATGGCCATCAGGGGCACCAGCCCAGCTCTGCCAACATAGAAGAAAAGGCAAGGAGGTGTGGTCATTCTGTAGGCTCCAGGCTTTTCACTCAGGGCCAGAACTAGATGTGCACGTGGAAACTGACAGCCATGGTTTGTATTTCCTTTCTCCAATCTGTACCGACCAGTTCTAGGATTTGGCTAGCTCTTCCACTGGGAAAATGAGAAAGCCATGTGCCAGGCTGTGGCCCTGGACAGACATCTGCAATCTCACGACTTCTACAAAACCCCATCTTAGCTCAGCACGTTGTAAGTGTTCGTGGATTTTGTCAATTGAGTGTCTGTAGTCAGGACAAGTGGGATAGGGTGGCGTGTGTCTCATCACCCCATTTCTCTTGGGGTCTCTCCCACATCTGCGGCTGGAGTGCCCAGGTCTCCATTAGAGGGTCTATGGGTGAGCATGCCTAGACCACAGAGACCTGCCCCAGGACAGGTGCTTTGACTCCCAAGTCTTTTTGCCTAGCGTCTGTTTTATCTGACTTGCTAACAAATCTGTGTCATTCTTTTTTTTTTTTTTCTTGCCCTCCAGTTGGCTGTTTCTCCAGGTCCAGCTGAGTTGTTTTTCTTCTTCCCTGACTCTTGGCTTCCATGAAATAAATCCCTTTCTCATTCCCTGCCACTCTCCTTTCCTTTGATCCTTTGTTTTCCCCAGACCCAGAACCACTTAGTCTCCTAAAGGGCTCAGAGAGGCATTTTGGTCTCTGTGTAATTTATACACACATCACAGTCATCACATAAGACTAAATCTTATTTGGCCTGACCTCCACTGGCCAAAAGCAACATACCCCACCCTGAAGCAGATGGGGGTCGGGAAGGAAGCAGGCACTGCCAACTCCTCAGATTTAGGTGATATCCGCTCTTTGTAGGAAAAGAAAAACGTTAAACGAACACATCTGTGACCACTGCCAGCCCTAATCCAGAATGCAAAATAAACAAGCATGATAATGCTCAAAATACAATCCTGGGGAATTGTGAGGGGTGGAGAGGGGAAGACATTAGCCAAAAGCTTAGACCTTCAAAGGGTATCAATAAGAAGTTCTTCAGACTTAATTAGACTTACCTTGGCTAGGATTTAAGTTTATGTATTCTTATTCTGTCCAAATACAGGCACTCTTCTCCTTTCACTATATGATTTTTAATAATAATACACTTTTACTAAAAATGATATTTTAAATATAAAATACAACATATCAAACATTTTATATATATGATAACTGTAACAATATATTTTATATGTAAAAAGATTATATTGTATACTTTAATAGTACTATCTAATATTTTGTATTTAAATAACATAAAAGCAAAATCTATTTCTGTTTAAAATGTTATAGGTTTATATAAATAAAATATAAAATGAAGCATTTTATACTACCTTAGCAAATATTGTTAAACATTTCTAAAATATAGGTTACTTAAATATCTTAAAATAAACCTTACTATTTAAATCAATACCAGACATTTAACATTAAAATTAAGTAAGTCATGGCCTTTTGGGACCAGGACACCTGTAATCCCAGCACTTTGGGGACTTAGAGGGTAGGGGACCACTTAAGACCAGGAATTCGAGACCGGCCTGAACAATATAAGGAGACCCCTGTCTCTTAAAAAAAAATTGGAGACCCCATCTCTTTTAAAAAAAAAAAATGGCTGGGCGCAGTGGCTCACGCCTGTAATCCCAGAACTTTGGGAGGCTGAGGTGGGCGGATCATGAGGTCAGGAGTTCCAGACTAGCCTGGCAAACATGGTGAAACCCCATCTCTACTAAAAATACAAAAATTAGCTGGGCATGGTGGCGGGCGCCTGTAATCTCAACTACTCGGGAGGCTGAGGCAGGAGAATCGTTTGAACCCAGGAGGTGGAGGTTGCAGTGAGCCGAGATGGTGCCATTGCACTCCAGCCTGGGTGATAGGGTGAGAATCCATCTCAAAAAAAAGTTTAGCTAGGTGTGGTGGCACCTACTGTCTTAGCTACTCAGGAGGCTGAGGCAGGAGGATTGCTTGAGCCCAGAGATTTGAGGCTGCAGTTAGCTATGATCGCACCACTGCAATGCAGCCTGGGGAACAGTGAGATTCTGTCTCAAAAACAAACAAACAAAAAACAACAAATTAAGTAATGCAACATAAATATTTAAAGTAATATTGAAATATATAGAATATCTTTTTTATTTTCATTATTTTTTATTTTTTGAGACAGAGTCTTGCTGTCCCCAGGCTGGAGTGCAGTGGCCAGAACATAGCTCACTGCAGCGGCCAGAACATAGCTCACTGCAGCCTCAACCTCCTGGGCTCAAGTGATCCTCCCACTTCGGCCTCCTGAGTAGCTGGGACCACAGGCGTGCACCACCACGCCCGGCTCATTATTATTATTATTATTATTATTATTATTATTATTATTATTATTGAGACAGGATCTCTCTGTGTTACCCAGGCTGGCCTCCAACTCCTGGGCTCAAGGCCTCCTCCGGCCTTGGCCTCCCAAAGTGCTGGGACAACAGGCATGAGCCACCACATCTGACCTTCTTTTTCTATTAATGTGAAATATTTTAAGATCTGACCCAGGGACGCGCGCTCGGACATGGTCCTGCCCCGCTGACCGCTGTCTTCCTCCCACCCGCAGGCATCGGCAAGAACGTCATCTGCGACCGCACGGCCACGCCGCTGGACGCTTTCCGCATGACCTCGGCCGCCCACTACTACCCCAAGCTCATGAGCATCATGGGCAACGTGCTGCGCTTCCTGCCGGCTTTCGTGCGCATGAAGCAGCTGATCGAGGAGGGCTACGTGGGCGAGCCGCTGGTGTGTGAGGTGCAGGTGCACGGCGGCAGCCTGCTGGGCAAGAAGTACAACTGGAGCTGCGACGACTTGATGGGCGGCGGCGGCCTGCACTCCGTGGGCACCTACATCATCGACCTGCTCACCTTCCTCACCGGCCAAAAGGCCGTCAAGGTCCACGGGCTGCTCAAGACCTTCGTGAAGCAGACTGACCACATCAAGGGCATCCGACAGATCACCAGCGATGACTTCTGCACCTTCCAGATGGTGCTGGAGGGCGGGGTGTGCTGCACCGTCACCCTCAACTTCAACGTGCCCGGCGAGTTCAAGCAGGATGTCACTGTGGTGGGCTCAGCCGGGCGCCTGCTGGCCGTGGGCACCGACCTGTACGGGCAGCGCAACAGCGCCCCGGAGCAGGAGCTGCTGGTGCAGGACGCCACGCCGGTGAGCAACTCCCTGCTTCCGGAGAAGGCCTTCAGCGACATCCCCTCGCCCTACCTGCGCGGCACCATCAAGATGATGCAGGCGGTGCGCCAGGCCTTCCAGGACCAGGACGACCGGCGCACGTGGGATGGGCGGCCCCTCACCATGGCCGCCACCTTCGACGACTGCCTGTATGCCTTGTGCGTGGTGGACACCATCAAGAGGTCCAGCCAGACGGGCGAGTGGCAGAACATTGCCATCATGACCGAGGAGCCGGAGCTGAGCCCCGCCTACCTGATCAGCGAGGCCATGCGCCGCAGCAGGATGTCCCTCTACTGTTAGCACAGATTGAGAACCTCGGGGACTTGAGCCTTCTGCAGGGGATGTCCACAGAGAGGGAAGGGCCGAGGGGAGAGGGTGACCATGGGGAATGTGGGGATCAGGGAGGTGGAGGGACAGTGTGAATAAATGGCATCTAGGAAGGTAAACTCCAATCCCGGTGACCGACCCCAAACCAGACTGTTGGTGGGCTGAGCTCCTAGCCTGGAAGCATTCAGGAGAGCCTGCCATTCCTGGGATGATCCCTGCTGGGTATTTGCACGAGAGTGGTTTGGTTTAGCTGCCTCTGCTGCCCTTTACTGTGACAAGCAAGGAGGGGTTGCTTCCCTCCCTACCTCATCCATCCCACACACCTTGGCCTTCTGCAAGCCAAGTGGTTCTGCAAGGTCAAGGCACTAGTATCAGATGGCAAGCTCAGTGCCCGGGATACCCACTGCTGGCAGGAGAAGGCCCATTTTCACAGTCCACAGAAGCGTGTTAGGCTGGGGTTGGGGGTGGGATGGGCTGGTGAGAAAGTTCAAATTCCAGGAAGCCACTTTTTATTGGATATAAGGTATCTAACGGCAAAAGTACTTAGTAGCAAAGTGGCCACCTTTTGATTGATTGGGCTTCCTCATAGGAAGCACTGAGGGTGTGTCTTTGTACTTGGTTCATTGCCCTTCACCTGGTAGAGAAAGAGAGGTCAGAAATAGCAAGCAAAAAGCAGGACTCCCAGGAGCCACAAGAAAAGAGCACAGGCTGCACCAAAGCAGGGGCAGCAGAGAATAAAATATCCCTTTGAACTTGTCAACAATTAAAAAACTGCAAGGAGTCACCTTATAACACTATTTCCAGTAAAGGTGGAATTGAGTATCAGAGGGATTACTGCGGTGTTAAGGTAGCCCTGCCACGTGGCTCTCCAGGCAGGGCCAAGAAGACAGCACAAAGTATGGGTTTGGCCATAAGCTCATATGCTGCCCCCAAAGACTGGGGAGAGCTGTGTGCCTCAGTGTTGCAGTGTGAATTCCTAAATAGAGGGTAAAGTGAGCCTAGCCAGGAGGTGTTTGGGGCTCTATCGCGCATCTCTCCTACCAAGCTGGGCAAGAGCTTTTAGGAGATTCATCCAGCTTTGTGGATTTAGAAAGGAAGCCTTCAGTTCCAATCAGAATCCTCTTTCCTTACAAAAAAAAAAAAAAAAAAAAAAAAAAAAAGGATTTTCCTTAGCTCCAGCATTTGCTTTCAGGATTCTGACACCTGAGAATTTGGGGGTAGGTACTAAACGAAACAAAACAAAAGGACAACAAGGAACATTATTTCTAGTGTTTCTAAAATGGGGGTTTAGAACCCCTTAAGGGGCCATACTTAGGCTTGAAAAGGCTAATGTTGGAAAAAACATGTTCTTCTAATTGGTCTGCTGTCTGTCTTGTCCTTGCACACTCTGCTTACAGAGTTTTGTTAGAGATGCTGAACTGCAGGCTGGGAGCAGGCAGTGCCAAAAGGGAACAGACACACACACACATGCACGTGCACACACACACACACACACACACACACAGATTTTTGAATGGTTGCTACCGACAAATGTCGCTGAAACCATTCTTTAAAAATTCAGATCTGGTCTTGAAAGAAAGAGCCAATCAAGTGCATTCAGAGAACAGGGAATTATCCTTTGTTATCTTTGTTTAATTCTTCACCCCACGTAAGACATTTGTCAAGTGTGGACGTGGAAGCCATTCCTCATAAGTCTACGTAGCTTTTGTTCACAGGCTCACTGAAGTCCAACAGGTGTCTTTACATGCAACTGAGGTTTAGAGTTCTTTTCAGATAGCTGCCATTGGAACTAGAAGGGAATCTAAGAGGACTGGAGTCCACCTCCAGCCTGTGTAGGCAAAATCTGAGAATGAACAGCCCAATCAGTTGCATCCTTCATTGTCCTCCCTAGGGTCAATATTCTTTGAAGCCCAGGCTACTCATAGGTGCAAGTGTGGTGTGTCCAAACACGAGGGGAATGCTGGGCATTTTCTAGAACAGAGAAGTAAGTACTGCCTTCCTGGAAAGAGTCGCCCTGCTTCCCGAGGCTTTGCTACAGCACTGCAGGGTGGGTAAGCTGAAATTCCATGCGTGGTTTGTTGTGGTCCCTGACCTGTTGCTGACAGACTTCATGGTCAGCATTCCAGCTCTTGCAGCTATCAGTTCCAAACCAGAGATTTGCTGGAATGGAAGTCTCCCAATAATAGTTTGAACAGAGGCCCATGTCATGGACTGCTTTGGTTCACATTCTTCTTCTTTTTTTTTTTTTTTTTTTGAAATGGAGTCTCGCTCTGTCACCCAAGCTGGAGTGCAGTGGTGTGATCTCAGCTCACTGCAACCTCTGCCTCCCAGGTTCAAGCGATTCTCCTGTCTCAGCCTCCCGAGCAGCAGGGACTACGGGTGGCTGCCACCACAGCCGGCTAATTTTTTGTATTTTTAGTAGAGACGGGGTTTCACTGTATTAGCCAGCATGGTCTCGATCTCCTGACCTCTTGATCCACCTGCCTTGGCCTTGCAAAGTGCTGGGGTTGCAGGCGTGAGCCACCACACCCAGCTGATTCTGGTTCTTCTAAATTGCTCCCTGGGAAAGTAGTTTTTGGGGAAACATTGGAATTATTATTATTATTATTTTCTAGCTAGCCTGAAGGGCTCCGATTAAGGATGAAGGGAAAGTAAACAAAATGATTCAATGGGTTTCATTTTTCTAAGTCATTCATAACCTAAATAGGGATATTCCTGGGGTTTCAATTGTATGTTTCTGTACTAAACCATAATACTCGCGAAATCTTTTCCCAAAACTTCGGGTTTTGGAGAGAGGTCCCCACAAAGGCCTCTAAGCTCTGTAATACATATTTAATGTCTAAAACAAAAAATCTCATTTGAAGCTGGGGTATTAGAAAGAACATATATTCTTTAAAAGAGGCATGAAAAAATATTTTAGTGTGTGTACTCAAATTTTATCTACTGAAATGCATGTAGTAGGTAGGTGAAGGAACAAGAGAAAGAAAAGAACTGGATAGTTCATTTTCTTTAAATATAAACTGTAGCAAATGGGTTTGAGATACTCCTTTAGTGCTCCATTTGCCCTTATCCCACCACATGCAAAGACTTGATTTGGGGTAGCTATATGAAGCTGAAATCTCTAGCCTTCAACAGTGTTCTGCAGAAGGACTTTGTTTCAGCCCAGCACCGTTCATCATGCCTTTAGGGGTCTGGGTACCCACAGCTGACTTTGACCTAGGACTAAAACCCAGCAATCTTTTGGCTCCTTTCTGCTTTGTTTAATGTGTTTCAAGGGCCTCGATGCAAGGAGGCAGTGCTTTAAGAGTCTTCCCATTTAGTTCCTGCATGCCTGTTTCGTTCCCATCAATGTGCGAATGGCCTAGATTCCAAGTTATGAGGGAGGGTGTGGGTCAGGGTTCTTACCTGGTATTTAAAAAATGTTTGGGAGTGCCCTGGGCCTATTTGAAAAGTTTGAATCTGTGATCACTGTCAGCTCCTCCAAGACTTCTCCTCTCAACAGACAATTGCATTGTAGGGCACCCCAGACCCCCCTTAGCCTACATGGCAGCAAATACCACTGTGCCAGTTATATCTGGACTCTAGGGTAGTCTTGGCCAACTCCAAGACTGGCCAACTCCAAGACTTGTCCACTGTGTGCAGAGTATTTTAAGTATGTTATCTCATACAATCCATAAAAACAACCCTATAGTGTTGGGTATTGCTATTTCTTTTATACACATGAGAAAATGGAGGCAGTAAGAGGAAGAGGAACTTGTTCAAAGTCACACAACTGTTAGGCAGAAATGAGGTCATTCAAATCCTTAATCTTCTCCTCCAGACCACACTGCCTCCCAGGAAGAGATGTGGGCACCTCCTGTTCTTGCCAGGCAGGAAACCGCTCCTTATCAATGTCTACGGGGTCTGCTCTCACACCCAGGAAGGACTGTGACAAGCATGGACTAACCTGCGGCTCCACTCAGCCTGCTGTCAGCACCCTCCTGTTCAGCAGGATGCAACATCTGATGTTCTGCCAGGAGGCTGTAGAGCTGCACATAGAAGTAGCCAGTGTTTCTTCCCATTCCAAAATGGAAATATCACTCAGCCTTTTTTAAAATTGACTTCCTATGTTCATTTTGATTGTAGGTGATGCAGCAAGCCTCAGGGCTGGGGATTTTCAAAATCTTGTTGGCTGACTATTATAGATGGCCTTGGAATTTGCTCTTGGGGGTCTGAATATAACGTAGGAAAATGTCCTTTCTCAGGGAGTGGGGCTTTAAAGTTCGTTTGTTTGTCACTCCAATTTTAGCTGTGCACTGCACCTTTCTTTGCACCCCTACTCTCTTCATCTTGTCTCATAGCCACAGCTATTGAATTTGGCCTGTGATCATAAGTTGGGTTTCTGATCTGATCTCTTGCATTCTGGTGGGTACTGGGGGCAGAATCAGCTTTGTTAATGATTTTCTGGGCAGAAGGTAAATTCAGCTGCATCTGAAGGGGCTTCACAGTCCAATAGCCGTCCTTTTGTTTTACATAACAGAGAGTGATGGTCAAGGCCACCCACATCTTTAGTGGTAGAGCCAGGACAAAAAGTCAGGTTTTCTGCCTCTTAAGTCTCATGCTGCCTCACATAGCACCTCCAGAGCTCTAGGGAAAGGAGGCTCAGAGAGATGAAGTGACTTGTCTGAAGTCCTGTGGCTAGTGGCAGAGAAGTTGGAATTAGACCTGCATTGGACCTCAATTCGCTGAGCAGTTGCAGGGAAATCTGGAAATCCTTTTTTTTTTTTTTTTGAGACAGAGTCTTACTCTGTCACCCAGGCTGGAGTGCAATGGCGTGATCTCAGCTCACTGCAACACCGCCTCCCGGGTTCAAGCGATTCTCCTGCCTCAGCCTCCTGAGTAGCTGGGATTACAGACGCACGCCACCATGCCCGGCTAATTTTTGTATTTTTAGTAGAGACAAGGTTTCCCCATATTGGTCAGGCTGGTCTTGAACTCCTGACCTTGTGATCCGCCCGCCTTGACCTCCCAAAGTGCTGGGATGACAGGCGTGATCCACCGTGCCCAGCCGGGAAATCCATTTTTTAAAATAAATTCAATTATGTCTTGAATGTACTCAGAAAACGAGCTGTTTAAAATGTCCCATTGTGACTGTAATGTGAACAATGACCTCTAACTTGTATTTTATTTGGCAAGGATGGGGGATGTGCATCAAATCTTCACCTCTGGGATTTCCTGAGGCTTGGTCTACTTGGCTCACCCTCCACCTGCATCCCCACCCCACTCCTAGATATTAATACAAATCTAGCCTTGACACCGCCTACTGCTCCACCACCGCCTACGTTTTTGGCCATCAGAGCCTTGGAGTTTACAGAGCAGAGGCCATGACATTGGGGAGCTTGTTTAAAAATCAATGATCAGAACCCCACATTTTAGTTTCCTTTTGGGGAGAAAGAGGAGGGCCGTGGAAGAAAAGGGGTGTGCAGCTGGAGCGTTATTATGTCTTTCTCAGCGGCAGGCATGCCCGCCTCTCCACCTTCTCCCCGCCAGGCACAGGAGCCAGCAGCTGGAGCGTGCTCTGAGTTTCAGGGGACCCCCCACCCAGACTGACTGGGGCTTCTGGGACTTCTCATAGGAAGAGTCAAGACCTCCTGCGCTTCTTTAAAAGGTGATGGGCTCAGTGTTCCCAGTGGCATCTGGAGGTGAAGCCGGTACTGTCTCAGGAGTGGAAGGCAATGGCCCACTGGCCTTTTTCTCCCCCACGTCACAGTCCCCATTTGCTGGAGCCCTTGAGGGGGCCACCGAAACTGTGGCTCTCATTCAGCCTCCCAAAGTGTTGCACTACTGAATACTCCTTTCTGTTTACACCAGCAGTGAATAGAGTCATGAAAAGAACATATTATATGCAATGGCTTGATGCTTAGTGTGGCAATCAAAAGCTTGCCTGGGCAGATGTAGGCAGGGGCTAGACAATAGTCATGGAGTTGTCACCAGGTCACTGTCTCTCTCCTTCCCCTTCCAGGTCTCTACTGTCCCCTGCAGCCACCACAAGGGCTAAGCTGTTGAATGAGCCCCTTGGTTTTTCCTTATAAACGCAATGACTTACTTGTGATTCTTGGTCTAATCCCAGGCTAAGAAACAAAACAAAAGCTTGTGATCTGACCCATTCCTTTGCTGCCTTCCTTCTCTTTCAGGCACCTGGACGTATTTAGTATTCTGCCCTGTGCCTTGCCCAGGGGAGGGAGAAGTTTCTAGCAAATGTGACTTTCTGTCTGCTGCCTGGTGCTTTTATAGTACTTCATCTGCTTTTTATTGTTGTTGTTGTGTTTTTTAACCAAAATGGCATTTGTTTGGCTGTCATTGTCGAGTATATATTTATTGTGTTTTACAAACATGAGTATATATGTATGTATATGTATAAAACCAAACTTATATATATAAGAAGTCAAGGCATGTATACTAGATATTTTAAAGAGTTATTTATCAAGGGAAAAAGATGTGTGTTATAAAGTAAACAGAGTCTATATTTTCTATATAATGTAGATAGTCAAACATAGCTTATAAATTATAGGAGGTTTTGGTTTTCTTTTTTATTATTAAAGGAAAAAAAGAAGAAAAAAAAAGACAATGAATGCAACTGTTCTTAGTGTTTTTAAGGCCAAACTACTGTGGAAGCTGGGAGGCGGCCCTCCCTGCGGGCCTCCAGCAGCCCTGTGCCTGCCGCTAGGAGCTCCAGAGCTGATGCCCGTTGTGATCTCTGCGATGCTCGATGCTCGGAGCCAGCGGTCAGCATCACTCAGCCAGCTGGCCTGTGCCGCTCTGACGTGGCTTCCAGCTGTTCTCCGCAATTTGCATTGGTGGGATAAAGGAATGAAAAGGATAAATAAAGATTTAAAAGAAAATACAATTCCAGCTCTTTGCCTGTTTTTTACACCCTGCTGCTCTCAATATAGGCGCCTGATCAGTTTGTGGGATCTGAAGCATGAATGGGTGCATCCAAGGTAGAGGGGTGTGGGTGCCTGTGGTGTTTGTGTGTGTGCTGGGGGAGGCTGTTCATGAGTCAGCATCCATGAAGCTGAACAATGGAAATCAACAGACCTACAATTTTGATTGAAAACCAACGCGTGTGGGAACTGGAGGCACTTCAAAGCCATCTGGTTCAAACCCTCATTTTGGAAATGTGAAAATGAAAGGCAAGTAACCTACCTATGGCCTCTGGGTATGTGTTTGTGTGTCCAAAGCTAGTGTGGACAACCAAAGCTAGTGTAGACAACAAGAGGATGAGAACATAGCTCTTAGATTGGGGGAGCAAATTTTAGAATTCTCTAGAATTCTCTAGTATTTTAACACTGTAACCTAATACTTCACACCAAGCACTGAAAAACAATTTTTTTTTTTTTTTGATACAGGATCTTACTCTGTCACCCAGGCTGGAGAGCAGTGGCATGATCACAGCTCACTGCACCCTCTACCTCCTGTGGCTCAAGCGATCCTACCACTTTAGGCTCTTGGGTTGCTGGGATTACAGGCACATGCCACCACGCCCAGCTAATTTTTTTTTTTCTGTATTTTGTAGAGATGGGGTTTCATCATGTTGCCCAGGCTGGTCTCGAACTCCTGGACTCAAGCGATCTGCGTGCCTCAGCCTCCCAAAGTGCTGGGATTACAGGCATGAGCCACTGTGCCCAGCACTGACCATTTAAAAGAGCGTCTTTGCTTACTTCCTTCTTAGCAGTGTTTAAGGGCAACCATCGCAGATTGAGCTCAGCCTAATTTCAAATTTGCATGACATAGAGTGTTTTATGGAGGGGCTGGCCTTTCCTTTCTATCTTTTGCTGAGTCTTAGAGAATGCTCATGAATGTTCCTTCTGGTCTATGGTTTCCCCTTCACTTAAAAATAAGAATTAATACTGCAAAATCTGAAATCTCATTCACTCCTTCATGAGCAGGTCCTGATATAAATACATCCAGAATTCAGTCCATCTATTATGATAACATTGTAGCAACCCCCTGTATCCACATAGATTATTGTCTTGAACATATGACATTCTCATACCACATGATTCTGCAGTAAATCTAACAGCAGTTCTAAATAAGGCCAAAAAGGAGAGTGCTTTGTCAAAACTAAAAGCACCATCCACCCAAATGTGAAGTGTCATCACGATGGCATCCATTCCCCTAAGTTTCTTTCAGCAATGTGACTTGAGAACCAACCCTCAATGAAAACTCGAATCTCCTAACCAGTTATATAAATTTTAAATCTAGGAGCTAGTTCTTCTTTCATGGATTTTGGATTCTCTTTGTGATGTTGGTTTGTCTCAATTTAGTCCCATTTCTTGCTTTGTAAACCTGCGATTATATGCCTCCTAGTAAACCACATGATATGATCAGCGCTGCTTTCATAGTCTCTGAACTGTTGCTTAAAAAGAACAGATATAATTGCATGGTAAGTCATTCAGGTTGCTCTTTACTGGTGAAATGAAGAGAAACCTGGGTGTCCTCTGATGTCTGTCTATACACCCCACCTCCCTGATTCACAGAACCATTTTCCGGTTTCACTTCTTGCTTCTTTTATCTTGTGCATTTTTAGCACCTGTTGTGACAAGCCTGGGTGACTCGATCTAAAAAATGAAATGACTTACAATTACTGTAAGAATGAATTACAGATACATGATGTATGCACAACTCTGTATAGAAATGAAAACAAAAATAACTTCACCTCACTCTAATTCATAGGCTACCATGTTATTGACCCTTATTTACCTAACTTTTGCTTAAGCAGGAAAGATCCCTCTGCCTAGATATCCCCTGGGCTTGGCGCCCTCACTCCTCCACCCCAGCCCTTATGCATTTGGCAGTAGTAATGGCCCCTGCAGGGAATGTTGTCCAAGAAGTCTAGATGATAGAGATGAAGAAGGCACATCACTTCACAGAGTTTATGCCAAGTCACCGCCAGAAGCGCAGTGTTACAATTTACTTAAGCCAAGACTGCTACAAAAAACTGATGCAAATGGAAGCTATTCAAAATCCTTTGCCTTGTGCATTCAAGTTGAGGCTCCCTTTTGAATCCTATCTCTGAGTCTACATCTGCTGGGTAAATTCCTGAACGATGACTTGAGCTGTGACAGCTTTTGTAGCATTGCTGTGGTCCAACCACAACTCTGTAAGATAAACTACCTAAGCTGGTTGTTGGACTTCCTCTAAAATGTCATTCTAATTATAGAAACACCTTTCTTTCCTGATTTTATACAGATTCTAATCACCTTAACTGCTTCTCTTCAGCCATGAATGAAAGCGAAAGATTAAGTCACTTTTAGAAGCCTTCTTGGGCAATTATAGATTAATTCATTTCTCGCTCATTGAAGGGACTCAATCCTAGAACAACAGTCTGGAATACATGTGTATGTATGCCCCTTTGTCTCTGACCTGCTCATCATTGGCCATCAATGCCCTGGGAAGGAGGGACCCTAGGAAGGCCTGAGGGGCTGCACCTGATGTGCAGGTCATGTGCACAGACCCCACAGGTTCAGGCTCAGTGTTGAAATTCCCTATGTCATTAACTCCCTTGTAGGAAGGATGAAAGGGTCTAGATCAGATTTAAGTCAGACATAGGCTATTTGAGGCGCCTGTGGGAATGGCAAATCACTCCAGACTCCTCAGAAGCAAAGGCCAAGCAGGCCTGAGAGCTAGTGAAACTCCAGGGAGAGGAGCAAGACCAGGATCTGCGCTTTCTCAGCTTCCCAAAGCTGTCTGTCTCGGAACTAACAAATGAGGCTGACTCTTCAGAGTTCTAGGCCAAGGGATCCGGACTTGACACTCAAGTTTCTGCCATGAAGCAAAAGACAGAGCTAGCCTGGAAAGAGCAGCTCTGTATCACTCCGGCTGTGAAGTGCTAAAACTCGACATCTCCCTGAGGAAACAGGAGAGAAGAAAGGATGGAGAGAAAAAAAGAGAGGAAGGAGCTGGCATTAATGGACCAGCAAGGGAAGGAGAAGGGAGCAGGAAAAGCGGTAGTTCACGTAGGGTAAATTAGATGAAGGGGAACAAACAGCGAAAGGTCAGAGGGCTCTGCACTTAAAATAAGGAAGCTTGTGAAGATAAGTAAATGTTGCCTGAGATATCTGAAGTAGGGTTCCTCTTTGGCTGACAAGCCTTAATCTGCACTCTGGAAACAGCTTGTATGAGGAGGAGGACGGCAGACAAGGAGGAATGAGGGAGGAATTCTTACAGGAACCATCTGGCTGAGTCACTTTTAGGGCTGTTCAAAGCTACCCAACTGTTGACATTTCCTGGAAATTCTTTAATGCCAACAATTGTGTTAAATGAGCAACATCCTTAAGACCCCGAGTGCACCTTGGATCCCCTCGTCCTTTCTTGTTGCGTTTGCGATTTGCAAATCCCCTGAACCTGAAGTCTTCAAGGATTCAGCATCTGCCATTTCACCATGTGTTAGTCCCCTCCCTGGGCCCCTTCAAACACACTCTCCACTCAGAAATCTACCATTTAGCCTTTATTTATTTATTTATTTATTTATTTTTGACGCACGCACAAGGCTTCTCACTCCTCCTCAGCTTTCAAAGAATCCACCCACTAGGCTGTCACTTCAATCTGCTGTCTCCTCCTGCAGCACAGAATTTCTGAAGAAAGTCCCCAGGTGAACCAGCCTGGCCAGCAGAAATGGATGCTCACCCACTCCATCTAGCCCCTGGCCTCTGCTCTCCTGGACTCCCTGGCTCAGTCCTCAGATCAGTTCCGGAACTTCTCTCCTTAGGTTTCCTGTAACATCCGGGTTTCTCCCTTACTTGCTTAAAACAACCTCTTGCTTTCATTCATCCATTCATTCACTCTGAGGCCATCTGAGGAAAGCTTCCTTACCTGCTTTCCTGATGACCTAATATATGCTGTACCCACCTACTTCCTCTTCCTTGAATGGGGAAACCAAGTCACAGGGAAAGATACATCTCTCCCTTCTAATGCTGGATCTCATTCCTTACAAGCCTGCTCTCATTCTCCACCTCCAATCTCTCTGTGTCCATTCTTCTCTTCTTTTCATCCGTCAGTTATGCCAGTGGCTCCCAGCCTGGAGTATGAATCTGGGGGCAGGGGTGTCTCTGAACTTAGGTGGGGAAAAAAATGCATCTTTATTTTCACTAACTCTAAGTGAAATTCAGTATTTTCTTTGATTATGACAACAAATCACAATTGTGTAAGCAATATCTGTGTCTTTATCACCAATAGAAATCACATCTATTTTCATCTTTTTTTTTTTTTTGAGATGAGGGTCTTGCTCTGTAGGAGTGCAGTGGTGCAAACACAGCTCACTGCAGCCTCAAACTCCTGCTCTCAAGCAACTCTGCTGCTTCAGCCTCTTAAGTAGCTGGGACTACCAATGTGGACCCATGCCTAGCTAATGTTTTTAAAAATGTTTTGTAGAGACGAGGTCTTACCATCTTGCCTAGGCTTCACATCTATTTTCAGATCTCATTATTGGTTTTGCGATATCTTGAAGTGGCATTTATAGTCATTACTTCTCTGAGATTATGGAAACCAGTAGACCACAACCAGCTTTTGTTATTTAATACTTCAATGAAAGGCTTATACATTGTTTTATTGATAATTTTTTTAAATTTGGAGAACGATACATCAATATAATTTATTATTTTGTAATTATATGCATACTGTTTTGCACACTTAAAAACTTTATTGGAGACCAAGACAGGAGGATCCCTTGAGGCCAAGAGATTGAGATCAGCCTGGACAACATAGCCAGATCCCATCTCTATAAAAAACATTTAAAAATTAGCCAAACATGGTGGTGTGTGCCTATAGTCCCAGCTACTCAGAAGGTGGAGGTGGGAGGATTGCTCAAGCCCAGGAGTTTGAGGTTACAGCAAACTATGATCGTGCCACTGCACTCCAGCCTAGGTGAAAAAGCAAGACCCTGTCTCAAAAATAATAGTAATAAAAATAATTTCTTTTAAAAAAACCTTATTGGGCAGGGAGGGGGGCCATTATTCCCAAAATTGGTCATTAGCTTCACCAGATTGCCAAAGATACATTTCTTAGTCTGTTTTGTGTTACTGTAACTGAATACCTGAGGCTGGGTAATTTATAAAGAACAGAGATTCATTTCTTACAGTTCTGGAGGCTGGGAAGTCCAACAGCATGGCACTGGCATCTGGTGAGAGTCTTCTTGCTGTGGCATAACCTGGCAAAGGTCATTACACTGTGAGAGGGTGTATTAGTCAGGGTTCTTTAGAGGGACAGAAGCAATGGAATATGTATGTACGTGTGTGTGTGTATATATATATATATGTATGTGTGTGTATCTATATGTATACACGTATATACGTGTATCTCTATGTATACACGTATATACGTGTATCTCTATGTATACACGTATATACGTATATTTTTTTAAAAAAAATCCTTTTTTTAAAAAATAAGGATTTTTAACATCTCTCCACATCAGCACAGAACAATCTCATTCTTTTTCAATGGCTTTACTGAATGAAATCTGCATTAAAAAATTATAATTTAAAATATGTATTCGGCCGGGCATGGTGGCTCACACTTGTAATCCCAGCACTTTGGGAGGCCAAGGCGTGCAGTCACATGAGGCCAGGAGTTCAAGACCAGCCTGGTCAACATGGTGAAAGCCCATCTCTACTAAAATTACAAAAATTAAAAATTAGCCAGGTATGGTGGCACACACCTATAATCCTAGCTATTCAGGTGGCTGAGGCATGAGAATCGCTTGAACCGAAGAGATGGAGGTTGCAGAGAGCCAAGATCACACCACTGCACTCCAGCCTGGGCAACAGAGAGAGACCCTATCTCCAAAAATATATAAATAAATAAAATGGTAAAATGGTAAATTTTATGTTACATGTATTTTACCACAATTAAAAAAACAAAAACAAAAACAAAAAAAAACTTTTTGAAGCTCTTCAGGTAATTGAGCTGCTTTGCTCCTCCTGCCCCTGGTCCAGTCACCAGCCTGACATTTTGGAGACGCCTACTCTCACTTTGCCTCTTTTGCCACCATTCTGAGTCCACTCATTCTAGAGAAATTAAAAGCAAAAAGACGAGTTGTATTTCTTCATGGAAACAGTTCCCTCTCCACGGGCGGCCGCTAACACGGAGCTGTAGCGGTATGAAAGGGCTCCTTCCTAAGCCTGTCAGGGGTCGGCAGACGGCTGTTATGCTGTTGGTGCCACCGACAGCCCCAGTACTCTGGGAGGACAGAATCCCTTTCAGCTGTGGAATGCCTTTCATCCTCCGTGTTGAAAAGCTCTGCAGAAATCAGGCCAGGGCTTGTGAAGCGCAATTCAAGCCCAGGCCCAAACAGCCCAAAGAGCCTGCTGTGGCAGAAGTCTGCATGGAAACCTACCCTCCCCGTCCCTGCTAAAGCCTCCTTGTACTTTCTTCCACTTGCATTTCCATATCCCTGACCCATCTACAGGGCTCGGAAAAAGCCTTTTCACACGTGATATGTTCAGATAAGTTAAATCCCCTGAAATTCTGCGTGACGTGGTGTATCTGTGCCATTTAGTGTCGTTCCATTGATCCACAGACTTGGGAGCAGTTCAGATCTGAGGGAACAAAAGCTGGTCCAAGGACATCATTGTCAAATCTTCAACCCACAGGCAGGCTCTCCCAGCACCTCGGGAACTCTGTGTCACAGCAGTCCATGGAAGTATTGCCCTGGCTACAGGCAGACACTTCACAAAGAGGATTTTGTGACCTGGACAAGTTACTGTGGTATGCAAAATTCTTGCATCTGCCTGTTAAGGAATCACTGAATGTCTGGGCGGATCTGTCTTCATATTTTCCACATTCACACAGCGTGGCTCTAAGGTCTGTCCGAGTCCCATCAGTTGGGGCCTGGCAGGGAGATGACTCCATTGGAGACCCAGGATTTTCCTCTCCCCGGCTGGTTTCTCCCAGGTCATTGCACGTACCAACATTTCATCATTTCGTGGAAGTTTTCTTAGGTGTAGCTCTGACCTCATCTCATAGGTTCATTCAAGATTCTTCATGTTCTCCTTCCTACACAACAGCCACTATACTATAAGAGTCGCTTCACTGAAGCCTGTCACCGTGCACCACTGCCACCCACTGCACTGCCAACGCTGTGTCCACGCACTCAGGAACCGTCCCTTCGGTTAGGTTTTTACCTGCTCAAACGTCATTCCTTTCAGCTATGGTGGCCTTGCCTGGCAGGCCTGGTTCATTTTTAAGAATTGGAATCCAGGGAGTGGTGAGACCTGGCTGTTCTATTTGGAGAACTAGGGGCCGCCACTCTCAACGCGTTTTCATTTTCCTGCTGCCTTCCCTCTGAGATCAGACATTCTCAGACTCCATCCTACGGCTGAAATCCTGGCAATTGCTCTATACTGAGGTATGGGAGTTGGGAACAAGCCCTGTGTAGGTCAAAACAGGCCCCTGAGTTCCTGGCAACTGGGTTTCCTAAGATAAAGGTCTTGCTCCTGGTTGCTGGCTTGCCATGGTGCCAAATAGGCCCTTTACAGCCTTCTTGTGGCATGGCTGTTTTCCAAAAATTAACCAGTTCTAGTGTGCGTTTCAAGAAACTTTACTTTCAGCACAGGAAACAAATATCAGCTTCTCATTCTGGTTTTCATGCTCTGGGTTGCTAGCTGGCAACTTTTGTCTGCTCTGAGACTCCTGAAAGATGTCACACCCTCCATCATCAGAGTTGTGTGTTACGTAATCGGTTTTGCTTGGATTCTCAATCAGAGCTACCATCTTCCCCACCTGTGCACCCCAAGTTCACCTGGGTGATACAGCAGTCTTTAAGGATGGGGACCGGACAGGTGTGGTGTGGAAAATTACCTCTAGGTCAGCAGTTCTCAAAGTATGGCCCCCACTCAGCAGCATCAGCATCACATAGGAAACTTGTTATAAATGCAAATCCTCAGTCCCACCCCAGACGTGTCGAATCTGAGGCTGGATCCAGCAAGCCCCCCAGCTGAGTCTAACGCATGCTCACTGGGGCCACGGCTCTAGGTGAGGCTTTGTTTGCCCTCCACCTGTCCCTTATCACAGGGGTCCGCAACCTCCAGGCCATGGACGGGTACTGGCATTATACTCTCACAGGAGTGCAAACCCTATTGTGAACTGTGCATGTGAGGGATCTAGGTGCATGCTTTTTATGAGAATCTAATGCCTGATGATCTGTCACTGTCTCCCATCACCCCCAGATGGGACCATCTAGTTGCAGGAAAAGAAGCTCAGGGCTCCTACTGATTCTACCTTATGGTGAGTTGTATTATGATTTCATTATATATTACAATGTAATAATAATAGAAATAAAGTGCACAATAAGTGTAATGCACTTGAATCATCCTGAAACCATGCCCCCTGACCCCTGGTCCATGGAAAAATTGTCTTCCATGAAACCCATTCCTGAAGCCAAAAAGGTTGGGGACTGCTGCCTTACAAGAATCACAGTTTTAGGCTGGGCGTGGTGGCTCATGCCTGGAATCCTGGCACTTTGGGAGGCTGAGATGGGAGGATCACTTCAGGCCAGGAGTTCAAGACCAGCCTGGTAAACATATTGAGACCCCATCTCTAATTAAAAAAAAAAAAAAGAGTCACAGTTTTAGAACAGTGGCTCTCAGCCCTGGCTGCATCTTAGGATCACCTGGGGAGCTTTTATAAAGTATAGATACCCTGACCTCACACCTAGAGGTTCTGATTGAATTCATCTGCTGGGTCACAGCTCTTCAGGTGATTCTAATGTTCAGATAGGGCTTTAAGAACCATTCACAGCCAGGCGCGGTGGCCCAAGCCTGTAATCCCAGCACTTTAGGAGGCTGAGGTGGGTGGATCACCTGAGGTCAGGAGTTGGAGACCAGCCAGGCCAACATGGTGAAACACCGTCTCTACTAAAAATACAAAAATTAGATGGGTGTGGTGGTGTATGCCTGTAGTCCAAGCTATTCTGGAAGCTGAGGCAGGGGAATTTCTTGAACCCTGGAGGCAGAGGTTGCAGTGAGCTGAGATCACACCATTGCACTCTAGACTGGGCTACAAGAGCGAAACTCCGTCTCAAAACAAACAAACAAACAAACAAAAAACCACTCACAAGCTTCTCCAGGCAGAGTTTGGCAGCCTTGCGAGTAACCACCCATTTGTTCCTCACCACCTCCTCCCAGCACAGAAGTAATTTATTTTTTGCAATTCATCATGATCACTCGTCAGCCAGAGAGGTAACAAAATGTAGGACACAGCATTGCCAGGTTCAGGGAGAGACTTGGATTTCTAACCCGACCCCTCACTGGCTGCAAACCTTTGGGAAAATTAAATCATCTAATCTTTCTAGGCCTCAGTGGCTTCCTTTACAAAATAGGAATTATATTAACATTTATTGGATAGTCTCTTAAGGTCTTTTCCAGGAAAAAAA
The DNA here is from genome assembly GCF_000001405.40 of Homo sapiens. Taxonomy (NCBI): domain Eukaryota; kingdom Metazoa; phylum Chordata; class Mammalia; order Primates; family Hominidae; genus Homo; species Homo sapiens. Next base: position 13,348,307 of record NC_000006.12, on the reverse strand, counting down.
TAAATCTTTGGTTCTAAGAGCTTCTGAAGGGTCTGAACTTGTCTTCAGCATAGAATTGCTAATATTGAGTTTTCATCCTTCAGGATGAGCAGAAGATATTGTGAGCCAGTCCATTTTGTGTTTTTTCCAGTATTCACAAATATGGGCCAAGCCTAAAAGAGACTGGCACTCAGCACCCAGATGCCAAGAAGGAAGCCATGACAGTGGTATGTTTGTACTCCTGCTCCGTGCCCTAGAATGTTCCAATGGGCACTCTGCAGCTGCTCAGGAGAGAGACTTCCACGCTCAGTGTGCCCCCGACTGCCACCCTCCATGTTCACAGACATCCTCGTCCTTCTCACTGCCACTTAGCTACCCACCCTTCCTCCTGACTCCTCTTCACTTTCCTTTTATTTTTTTTGAGGCGGAGTCTCACTCTGTCAAACAGGCAGAAGTGCAGTGGTGTGATCTTGGCTCACTGCAACCTCCACCTCCCAGGTTCAAGTGATCCTCCTGCCTCAGCCTCCCGAGTAGCTGGGATTACAGGTGCCCACCACCACGCCAGGCTAATTTTGTATTTTTAGTAGAGATCGTGTTTCGCCATGTTGGCCAGGCTGGTCTCGAACTCCTGACCTCAAGTGATCCGCCCACCTCAGCCTCCCAAAGTGCTGCAATTACAGGCGTGAGCCACTGCGCCCAGCTCCTCTTTGCTTTTCTTTTTGGCCCTGCAAAGACTACAATAATCAGCCTGTGACTATCTTCACGGAGCTCATCCATCCAACCCTACTAACACGAAGACTCCTATGAAAAACAAGTCAAGTGTTCCAGGAAGGAGAAGGTGAATAGGTCAAGTGTTTCCTGAATCAGTTGCTTAAATAAAAAAAAAAAAAAAAAAATTTTTTTTTTGCATATTCACTTTCTTCCCTGAAAACAAAATAGTTTTATATTCCCCTCCCTCCTATAGCCCCACCGGAGGAAGTAATGGGATTAGAAGGCTAAGAGAAGATGGTAAGTTGTTTGAAGCTGATAGTGTGTCCTCAATACTATGTTAAAAGTCAAGTAAACCTGTAATTTCTAGGAATCTCTTCACAGAGAGAAAAAAACTATATAAGGACCCCAGGAATTTGGCTAGAGGACACGGCCAAGCCTTCCCATGGTCCAGGTTGCCACGGAGAGGCAGGGATGGGTTCCACATGCTGGTGTCCCAACTTCAATTCTTCTGCCCACTCTGGACTCCATTTCTGTAATCAGGGAACACCCATCCCTTCTCTGGAGGAGAGGTGTAGGAAAGGGCTTCAACAGGCACTGGGCTGTACAAGTTCTAGTCCTTTTCCCAGCCTGAATTTGGGAGACTCAAGTGCAGTTGGCCAAGAATGACAGTCATGCTTTTTATCCACAGGGGATTAGGTGTGTTCTGATCAAGCTGAGAGCCTTTTATTCTCTTTTCCAGATCCTTCCCTTGCTACTGGCAAGATGTATGCATATTCCGGATCCCAGGTCTGTTGTCCCCTCATGCCATGTGGAAGTTTCCCAAGACTATAGAGAAATGTTTAGATGTGCAGATGCCACACACTAATTCTTAGAGTTTCTACGGCCATTATGACTAAAGGGATTTTTGTATACTGTTTAATTTTTTGGTTGGGTCTTTGTTTCACTTTTTTTTCTAATTGAGGGGGAATTTTAAATTGTAACCGTTGTTACACCGTGAGCAGACACAGTACCTTCAAGACAACTTCTCCATCCTTTTGGTTTTATAATATGTGCATCCTAAGGCACCCTTTTCAAAGTTACTTAGGTGTCAACCTCAGTGTACAATTCTACAATGAGTAGAACCTGCATCACAGTGAAATAAACTGGTCCAGCTGGTATGATTCGATGGTTCTGGCACTTCCCAAGCACAGTATTCCTCTCTTCCATTCTGTCATTCATACCTGAAACTCCACCCTACTGATTAATGACATATCCATGCTGAAGCACAAATATCTCAGGAGAAAGCAGCTTATTGATGTTGCCTGAGTGATACTTTATTTATCAGATCCTTTTCAATATGGCATTCACTTGAGAGCCGGTTTACAGAGCGGGGAAATGTGGGCAAGAGCATGGTTTATGCAGAGACGGCCTGAGATAGGGCCCTATTCGGCTAGGGAAGTGTGACCAGGCCCTCATGTAATCCTCACGACCATAGCAGCTATTGTTTAACGCACCAGCCCCCACCAGCCCCACCTTTTGTTTTTTTGTTTTTTTTCAAATTCAAAGCTCAGAAAGGTTAACTAACTTACTAAGAGTAGCACAGATGGCAAATGATAGAGGTGGTGTCTAAACCCATATCTCAACAGGAAGCCAGATTCCACCGTGAAATGCCAGTTAATTCTGACACAATCTTACCTTTTTCTTATAACATCACTCATCTAATCAATTTCGAGAGTTTCCCATTGTCCTGGTGATGAGGCAAAGGGCCAAAAAACATGGAGCTTCATGTAGTACCTGAGAGACCACAGCCAAGGAAAAATTACTCCAGTGATCCAAAGAAAAGAAGCCTCTTTGGGATCTCCAACATGCAAACTGTAGTTTTGTATTGTTTGTTTAAAATAATTAATCAGGTCAGTTTGGCTTCCTATTGAACTTACTTGAGGTCTGTAACACTGCTAATGAAAGGAAATAAATGAATGAGGATGAAGAGTACATGCTAGGGTACTAGCATGTAGATTTCCAGAAATGTTCTAAGTCCTAAATTAGTTTTCCTTGATGGATACCTGCCAACTACCTGTTTGAAATTAGACTTTAATTCTTGATATTGTGTTGAAATTCTGATTCCATCCTATGAAGAAAGAGTTTTTCCCATGATCATTCATGCTTTGCACTTGCAGGGGTGGGTGTCTGCATAGGTTAGAACATGGTATGATCCCTGGAAGAGAATAAATAAGAGCCTAATACATGTTTGTGGGGAGAGGAAGATAGGGCGAACGTGTATTAGGAAAAAAAATGTCTGTTGGTTTAGGAAATAATTTTGGGGCCCTTCTGGGAACTATGCACCAGAGGAATCCAAATCCAGAATAGTGAGAAGATGCAGAGGAAGAAATGAGTTGAAAGTTTTTCAGGAGACCAGAGTTGAGTTTCCTCTGATTTAAACTCAGGATAATTGAGTCAAGTATAAGAACTGAGGAATGGCTGGGTGCGGTGGCTCATGCCTGTAATCCCAGCACTTTGGGAGGCTGAGGTGGGCGGATCACGAGGTCAAGCGATCGAGACCATCCTGGCCAACATGGTGAAACCCTGTCTCTACTAAAAATACAAAAAATTAGCTGGGCGTGGTGACACACACCTGTAGTCCCAGCTACTAGGGAGGCTGAGACAGGAGAATCACTTGAACCCAAGAGGCGGAGGTTGCGGTGAGCTGAGATTGTATCACTGCACTCCAGGCTGTCAACAGAGTGAGACTCCGTCTCAAACAAACAAACAAACAAAGAACTGAGGAACTAGATTGTGTTGCAGGCATTCTGAAGGTGGGATGGTGGCAAGATGGTTTAGGCTTGAGTAGAACAACGAAGAAAGTATACGTTTCTCAATGAAGAAGGGAGAGGAGGATAAGATCAAGAATGAACGTAACAGGACCAGAAGGCCAAAGGTGCCCAGGATTGGGGCAGCAGGGCCTCTCATGAAGTCTGTTTTTCTTAATTGGCAAAGAGCTGGGCTCTCTGCCCTCTGCAGCTGCACTTTCCTATGAACGTAAGATTGGCACGTTTACATCTGCTCACATCTCTGTTCTAGGGGTTTCATGGCATTCAAATAAGTGGTCCTGCAGGGATATTTTTATGGAAATCAATTTTTTTTGGATATAAGTTTGGTTGCATAAAACAGAGTCTCAAAGTAATAGAAACGTAATCAAGATACAGGTCTCCTTCTCCTTCATGCAGCAGGAGAAGCTAGAATGGCGGCTGTTCTGACGAGCTGCCGGGGGTTGGACTTACCTATCTGGTTGTCCCATTTTTCCTATGGAGTCATCTTTGTCTGGATGGTTCTGAATGGCTCACCCCTGTGATTGTATTCTAGCCATCAGGAAAAAGAAGGGAGTGTCCCTTCCCTTGAAGAGTATGACCCCAAAGTTTCACATAAAACATCCCTTTCCCATCCTTTGACCAAGACTTAGTCTCGTGGTCACGACGACCTGCAGGGGAGGCTGAGAAAAGAGGCTGACTTGGCTCACGGTTCTGCAGGCTGTACAGGAGGCATACAGGCATCTGCTTCTGGGGAGGCCTCAGGAAGCCTTCAACCATGAGGAAGGCAAAGGGGGAGCGAGGCACCTCAGAAGCCTGGGGTAGGAGGAAGAGAGGGAGTGGGGAAGTGCTACACACTTTTAAACAGCCAGATCTCACGATAATTCACTCACTCACTATCATGAGAACAGCATCGAGGGGATGGTGTAACCCATTCATGAGAAACTGCCCCCATGATCTAGTCACCTCCCACCAGGCCCCCACCTCCAACACTGCGGGTTACAATTCGATATGAGATTTGGGTGGGGACACAGATCCAAACCATGTCACCCTATTATACCCATGAGAGGTTTCCCCACTCTGGGCCACTTTGACCTAAACTTCCACGTTCTCAGTTGCTACCATACTTGACTTTCCATTTAGATCACTCCCTAAAGACCCAACTTCAGCAATCCTAGAATAGAAATGGATATATCCCTCTTACAAAAATTTTTTTTTTAATTCAAATAAGACATTTTTGAAAAAGGAAACTAGGCCGGGTGCAGTGGCTCACGCCTGTAATCCCAGCACTTTCGGAGGCCAAGGCGGGTGGATCACTTGAGGTCAGGAGTTCGAGATCAGCCTGGCCAACATGATGAAACCCCATCTCTCCTAAAAATACAAAAATTAGCCGAGTATCTTGGTGCAAACCTGTAATCCCAGCTAGTCAGGAGGCTGAGGCAGGAGAATCGCTTGAACCCGGGAAGCAGAGGTTGCAGTGAGCCAAGATCGCACCACTGCACTCCAGCCTGAGCGACAAGAGCAAGACTCCATCTCAAAAAAAAAAACAAAAAACAAACAAACAAAAAACAAAGAAAAAGGAAACTAAAACTAAGGGAAAAGCAACATTAAAAATACTAACTGGTATGATCTAGTGCTCATTATTTATATAGTGTCAGCTACTGTTGTACATGTTTTAGATACTTAACTCATTTAATCCTCACAACGGCCTGTGGTGCATGTATAATAATTATCAAGATCATTCTTTATAAGTGAAATAGAAAGAAATTAAGTTTTTGTTTTGTTTTGTATTGTTTTTATCCTTTGTCATAGAGCTTGTGAGAGCAGAGTTGCAATTCAATCCCAGTGATCTGTTCTGGAGTCCGTACTCATTCTCCAAGTCTTCATTCTCTAGGTCTCATTCTCTCCCTGTTCACCAAAGCATGAAGACGGGCACTCACAGGGCATGCTCTCCTTGGCTAAGCTGCCTGGTCAGTAGCTGTAGTTGGCTTGGAGGGCATGGCTTCCTGGCAATTCTGCTCCATTCCCAAGTCACACTTCCCTTTGTCTAGGCTGTCTCCACCTATGGATAAGCCCAACTTTTTCTTTGGTTGTTTCAATCTGGCCCTTGGGGAGACCTCGAAGGCCCTGTGTATCATCCCTTCACTTGCACTCCTGACTCTAGGCCAACCATCCTCTATTCAAAAATGAGGCTCCAGCATTTCTCCCCCTTCTTGCCAAATCAGCAATTATTCCTTCGCTACCAGACCATTTTCATAATCTCAGAAACGTGCTGCTTCTTCCTCTTGGCACTACCTCCTAATGCCCCCCATACCCAGCTACTACCCATTTATTTGCTTTTCTTTGCAACAAAACTTCTCAAAAGAATTTCTGAAGGTCTCTGTCTCAATTCTTCCCTTTCCATTCTCTCTTAAAAACATCTCCATCGGTCTTCTTCCTCACTGATCTTGTCAAGGTCACAATGACGTCCCATTGTCATCTCTCAGAACTTTTACTTGATATATCAGCAAACTTTGACATGGTGGATCACTCCCTCCCTGATACACTTTTTAAACTTGGTTGCCAGAAAAATCTCTTGATTTTCCTCCTACCTTACGGTGGCCCCTTCCCTGTCATTTATGCAAATTCCTCATTTTCTCCCTGATCTTTTAATGTTGGCGTCTATTTTTTCTCCTCCTCCATCTGTCCACTCCATTAGTAATCTCATGGCTCCACACGCCTTTATTTGCTGACAGCTCCCAAGGATATACATTCTGTCTGAAGCTCTCTGCTGAACCCCAGATATCAGCCAGGGTCCACTCAGGAGGCAAAAGCCACAGAGTAGTTTGCACAGGAACAGTTTAATATAATTATAATGGGGGACTGGAGTAATGGATGATGGGCTAGCAATCGGTAAAGAAAATGCCAAAGGATACATAAATAGATAAAGGGAGCTTCTGCCATCTATAAGGCTGAGATAGAGTGTTCAAGAAGAGAACAAATCTGGAAGAGGAGGACCTCCACTCATACTCTAGGGCTGAAATCCAGACCTTATTGGAAAGGGTGCAGCTGTGGCTCATGGGAAGGTGGAAAGGTTTGCTGAGCTGCTACACTGATGTTACTGAGAATCGGCCCTCTCTGGTGCTGGGGGAGCTGCCTGTTGGTTGGTGCTACACCTTGGAACTTGCTGCAAAGTCTGCTGATTGGTGCTGTGCTTCGGAACTTGCTGCAAAGGTATGGAGGGAAGCCAACCATAAGAGGTGTCTTATGCTGCCAGCTGCCAGGTAGTGGCTGCAGCTCACTGTAGGACTTGGGTGCTGCACACACTATGCACACTGTAGGGGCCTGCCACGAAGCATTCACCAGGATTGGGAAGAGAAGCCTTTCCTCCTGCAGCATCCCTCCAGTGCACTCTGCTGAGAAACTTTCACATCATTCCAGAGGGCAAAGTCAAGATATTTACATGGCCCAGCTCCATTTCCACAGACCAGATAATGAAAGGTGGATCTGGAGGTGAGAGGCAGTTAATTGATAACTGGTGTACTCCAGAGTTGGGACCAGCCATCTACTTGACATTTCTACTGGATGTCTTATAATCTCAGAAGCACCAAGTCCATGCCTGCTCTATGTACACCTTTCCCCGTTCTTCTGGCTGCTTAGGTTCGATAAAAGAGGTCACAGTTGACTCCCATCTTCTCTCACACCCCACCTGTAAATTGTGGGGAACGCCTATTGGCTCTACCTTAAACATATATCTATAATCCCACTACTTGTCACTCCACCCACTGCTGTCCCCCTGGTCCTGGTCATCGTCATGATCCCTTGCTTGAATTGCAGGAATACCTCTCTGTCTCTGTTTCTTCCCATGTGCCCTGACATCTATTTTCAACATAGTAACAAATGCAGTTCTTTGAAAATATGAGTCATATTATATCAATTCTCTGCTTAAAACTCCACATTTCACTTAAAGAAAAGGCCAAAGTGCTCACAGTGACCAAAGTGATCTAACTTCTCTCTCCCACCCTGTAACCCTTCTGCCACCACACGTCTACTCTGTCCTTTTGTGGCTCCAGTTCAATACTGGTCCCCTTGTCATTCCTGAAATAAATAGACATGCAACCTCACCCCCAAATACCCAATCAGCATTTCCCTTGTCAACTCTTTTCTTTCTGAAAAATAAATGTCCTTATTTATTATATCCATTGTCTGTTGCCTGTTTGCCCCACTAGACTATATATCCCTATCCTCCATAGGGTAGGGATGTTTTATGTATGCATTTGGACATACCCAAGCACTTAGAAAAGCCCCTGGAACATAGTGGGAGCTCGAGAAACATTAGGTGAATATTGAAGATCTAGCTCTGCATCCTCAACAGAGGACGGTGTTCCGTGGCCACACCTCCTGCCAGCTTCCTATACGCCTGAAGAAATTTGCTTTCTCTTCCTGTTAAAAGCTTGTGCTTCTACTGAAGCCTCTTCTCAAGTGCCTGCTTCTGATCTGGGAGCACCTTTGTTCCGTCCCTCTGTCAGTGGCTCCAAGCTCTCTCTGCAGACCCATTCAGGTGTTCACATGCTACTTCTTCCCTTCAACCCTCTCATCCCAGCCCTTCTTATGCGCAGTGAGAGAAGAGGCCTTCCCACCCCAACAGCCCCTCAGGTCATCAAACCATCGGCCGTGGATTAGCAATCAAAGTAATCATAGGTGCTTTATGGGTTTATTTATTTTAATCCTCATGATAACCTTGTGAGGCAAGTAGTGCCAATATGCCCATTCTACAGAAAAGACAAATGAGGCATTGAGAAGTTAGTATTTTGCTTAACTAGCACATTGAGGAGGTGGAATGTGTCTGTGCCCTGTTGCCAAAATGCAGTTTTATGTCATGAAAATGACAATGACTAATTTGGAGGGAGCTAAGTCTGACTTGAACTTGAATTAAGCATTGGTTTTGAGCTGAATTGTGAAGGGATAGAAGTCAAAATGTGATTTTCCAAAGTGAACAGTCCTTAATCAGTCTTAATAGGCTCCAATGGGAACCAAATCAGAACAGCCTGACATCATCCCGGGCTTCGTGTCCACACCCCCAAGACTGGCTGGTGTGCAGGGTCTCAGGTTCCTATTTTTATTCCAGTTGTACCACCTCCTGGCATTATCTGAGCAATGGCTTCCCATTGCTCTGAAATCCCCCATGTATGCATTAGCGAGTTAATTCTTTCTCATATTCTACTACCTCTCACAGTCTGAATGCATTCTTCTCTAACCCTTATGTAACCACCTACTGTGCACACAAAAGCGCTGGATCTCCGCATGGTTTTCTGGATTCACTCACGTCTCTTTCAGTAGATCACAAGCTCCTTGAGGGTGGGGGCGTGAGTTCCCAGTGCTTGGCATGTAGGGACTCAAATGTTTGCTGAAGAAGGAATGTCCAGAGCCCCCTCCAGTCCCCTCTATCCTTCTTATCAAATCAAGCTCTCTGGAGAGGATCTGGTAAACTCATACCAAATGATCCATTTGGTTGAATGTATTACTCCTTCCTTTGGCTTTTTAATAGTGGAGAGAGCCTTAAGCCAAGGAAATGGTATTAAATACAGAGGAGGGGCAGGGAAGAAAGATTTGGGGCAACTGGGTAAGACTGCCTGGCAAATCATATTATATAGTTGGACATCTCCTTTATCTCTGTGCACTAAGGAAGTACTCCAGAGTCAAAACCGAGCCAGTCATTTTTCAGTTTATATCTTCAGAGAAAGCGCGCGCCTGCACATGAACAAACAATGCTGCTTCCCCTGACTCCTTCACTCTAACAAACTCTCCCTCCCATTTTAAAATTTTTCATTTGCCGTGACAAGTTCCTTTATTGTTTTGATTTTTGTTTTTCCCTAAGACATGCTACTTCTCCTAAAAGAACTTTTTTTCTTCTTATTCCTAAATTGTGACTTTTTTTTGTTTCTTTGAGACAGGGTGTCACTCTGTTGCCCAAGTTGGAGTGCAATGGCACAACCACAGCTTATTGCAGCCTTGGCCTCCTGGGCTCAAGCAATCCTCCCATCTCAGCCTCCTGAATAGCTGGGACCACAGGTGTGCGCCACCATGCCCAGGCAATTTTTTGTATTTTTTGTAGAGACTGGGTTTCTCTATGTTGCCCAGGCTGGTCTTGAACTCCTGAGCTCAAGTAATCTGCCTGCCTTGGCTTCCCAAATGCTGGGATTACAGGTGTGAGCCACCTCACCCCACCCTCAATGGCGACTTCTGACTTGCAGCTTGTTGAAAATCAAGTATTGATTTGTATGAGTGAATGGAATAAATCAATGTGGAAGCCTGGCCTAGTACAGGGACTTCAGGATCATTTGCTGTATCAAATGTGTATGCAAAAGGTGCAGCAGTCATATCTAAGAGCAGGGTTTTGTTTTGGTTTTCTTTTAGAAAAAGTATTCCTTATTCCATTTGCTTCTTTTTAATTTTGTGCTTTTCCTGTACTCATCGCAGTGACGTAGCCCAAGTCCTCCCGCGAGAGTTGTCAAGACTGTCCCTCCTCAAGTTCCTCTTCTCCCATTCCTCCCTCTCTGCCACTTTCTCCCTCTTTATTGTATTTTAATCTTGACAATCAGTGAAGCTGTTGGAGGATTTAGAGGAGCAACCCTCCATGTCTTAATAATTGTGCTGGGTTTCGTTTCCCCTGTGAAAGGAACTATCTAAAATCCTCTAGACTTTTACATGTGTGTTATAAACTCAACTGCAGTGCTTCTTGAGCAATCCTGTGGGCAAGGAACTAGCCACAAGTTACTAGAAAAACCAAATGAAAAAGACATATAAAATACAAGCTCATAATGAGATTCAACAGACATAAAATGAATCTGTCAAACTGCTATCAAAGTATCTAAATGCTCTCGATTTCTGTACTTATCTCACAGGCCCCTGACCAACAGCTCATGGACAGCACCAGAGAGGGGACCGCACTTGAAAGAGCACTGCTCCAGCAAAGTATGTTGTTCACGCCTTACAGTGTTTTGGTTTAAAAGAAGAGATGAAGACTGGGTGCAGTGGCTCGTGACTGTAATCCCAGCACTTTGGGAGGCTGAGGCGGGTGGATCACCTGAGGTCAGGAGTTCAAGACAAGCCTGGCCAACATGGTGAAACTCTGTCTCTACTAAAAATACAAAAATTAGCTGGGCATGGTGGCGGGCAGCTGTAATCCCAGCTACTCAGGAGGCTGAGACAGGAGAATAACTTGAACCTGGGAGGCAGAGGTTGCAGTCAGCCAAGATTGCACCATTGCAATCCAGCCTGGGCGACAGAGCGAGGATCTGTCTCAAAAAAAAAAAAAAAAAGAAGAGATGAAAACACGCATAAATTCTTCACCTTTCCCCAAAATCTAAATAAGCTAACAAAAACTCTCTGTGCACCAGAGAGCATGTGTGCACGTATACACACTCGAATAACAAAACTTTGTAGACAGGTAATACAGTGGAAGGGTTAATTAAACCAATGGACTCAGGAGCCAGATAGCAACCATTTATAAGTTGCTTCCACTTAAACTCATTTACAATAAAATGTGGATGGTAATAATAATGCCAGATTCTTAAGACAATTAAATGGCATAATATGCATGCAGCTCTTAGAAGAATAGGCACTCAATGCCTTTAATTCTTCTTCTTTTTTTTTTTTCTGGAGACAAGTCTCGCTCTGTCACCCAGGCTGGAGTGCAGTGGCACCATGTCAGCTCACTGCAACCTCCGCCTCCTGGGTTCAAGCAATTCTCCTGCCTCAGCCTCCTGAGCAGCTGGGACTACAGGCATACGCCGCTATGCCCGGCGAATTTTTTGCATTTTTAGTAGAGACGGGGTTTCACCGTGTTGCCCAGGTTGATCTCGAACTCCTGACCTCAGACAATCCGCCCGCCTCGGCCTCCCAAAGTGCTAGGATTACAGGCGTGAGCCACCGTGCTAGGCCTATTATTATTCTTTTTGCTTCGTGGAATAAGGCGATCCCTGTTGCTTTGCTCAGTATTTCCATCTGGAAGGTGTAGATGAAACTGCGGTTTACTTGGCAAGCCAGGGCCAGTCGTCTCTTCCCCAGCATCTGGAAACATCTACCGTCAGTGGGTGGAGGCAGAATCCCAAACCTCATAAAGGAATGAAGTTTCCCTTAACTCGGTGTGAGGAGTATCCCAACCGTCTACTGCTGCTGCCCTCTGCTGCTGCCATTGAGAATTACACCAAGCCGAGTTTCTGCCACAAGACCAGCAAAATCTAACCTCATCTGGGGGGAATTAGCAATATAGGTTGAGTATCCCGTATCTAAAATGCTTGCGACAAAGTGTGTCTTGGATTTGGGATTTTTTAAGATTTTGGATTATTTGTGTATACACAGTGAGTTATCTTGGGGATGAGACCCAAGTCTAAACATGAAATTCATTTATGTTTCATATACACCTTGTCCACATAGCCTGAAGGTAATTTTATATAATATTTTAAATAATTTTGTGCATGAAACAAAGTTTTGGCTATGTTTTGACTGCAACCCATTGCATGAGGTCAGGTGTAATATTTTCCACTGGTGACATCATGTCAGTGCTCAAAAAGTTTTGGATTTTGTAGCATTTCAGATTTCCAATTTTCAGATTAGGGGTGCTCAACCTGTATGGACTTTGTTTAGGATTTCATTGAATATCCCAGAATTCATTTTTCACAGTGACTTTAACATAATAGCACTGCATTTTTATAATCTATAACTATTTCTGGACATTTTCATGGAATATTTTTTATTTTCCTTTAAAAAAAATTCTATTATTATTTTACAGACAGTCTTGTTTTGTCACCCAGGCTGAAGTGTTAGTGGCACAAGCATAGCTCACTGTAACCTGGAACTCCTGGGCTCAAGCAATCCTCCTGCCTCAGCCTCCCAAGCAGCTGGGACTACAGCCATGTAACCAACCACCATACCCAGCTAAATTTTTTATTTTTTGTAGAGACAGAGTCTCTGTTGTTCAGGCTGATCTCAAACTCCTGGCTTCAAGTGATCCTCCCACCTTGGCCTCCCAAAGCATGCTGGGATGAGCCACTATGCCTGGACATCAAACGTTGCTCTATGTTACCTCAAGCAGGCTTCTGAACATGGCCAATTCTCTCCTTTTTTTTTTTTTTTTTTTGAGACGGAGTCTCGCTCTGTCGCCCAGGCTGGAATGCAGTGGCGCGATCTCTGCTCACTGCAAGCTCCGCCTCCCAGGTTCACACCATTCTCCTGCCTCAGACTCCCAAGTAGCTGGGACTACAGGCACCCGCCACCACGCCCGGCTAATTTTTTGTATTTTTAGTAGAAACAGGGTTTCACCATTTTAGCCGGGATGGTCTCGATCTCCTGACCTTGTGATCCGCCCGCCTTGGCCTCCCAAAGTGCTGGGATAACAGGCATGAGCCACCGCGCCCGGCATGGCCAATTCTCAAAGCTACTCTTCTCTGACTTTCTCATTTTGGTTTTCTGTACCCCAGTTTCCCAGAGACTTAAGGCCCCCAGTAGCTGTGACCTCTCTTTTTTCAAGTCCTCTCAGTGGCTCAAACCAACCCCTCCCACCCTCTGCAAAAGCTTTTAGCACCTCGAGAGAGGCACTCCTGCCTCCAAGCCTCTCCCTTTTACAGGTCATGGAAATCCATTGTTCAAAGGCTCTCTCTGCTCTGAGTCATCTCTCCACAGCCCATGCTTGGCCCACGCTCCTTGGGCCTCCTGCAACCCACCCTGCCAGCTCCAAGCCTTATCTCTCATGACCCCAACACAGCTGCCAGGCTGGCTCCCATCATCCACATACACATTGTCATTTCCTGCCTTTGCGTTTTAGTGATTGCTCTTTCTTGTGTTGAAAAGGCACTCTTTTCTATAAAAATTATTCACTGCACAGCTCAAATGCTATTTCCTATATAGTGCCTTCTCTAAACACTCCAGGGAGTACCTTAACTTCTATGACATTTCTTGTGTCTTACCTGGGTTGCGCTTATCAAATGCATTGTTACTTGGGCATATTTCTTCTTAAAATTTTTTCTACTATCATATGACCCAGCAATCCACTACTGGGTATATATCCACAGAAATGGAAACCAGTATGCTGAAGAGCTGTCTGCACTCCTATCTCCATTGCAGCATTAATTACAATAGCCAATGCATGAAACAACTCAAGTGTACAGCAAGAGATTAATGGATAAACATCTACTGTCAGTTGGTGGAGGCACAATCCCAACCACTGTTTAGGAATGAAGTTTTCCTAAGCTCACAGTGTGAGAAATATCCCAATCATGGGTATATTCATGGGTAAAGAAAATGTGGTACATATATGTACAGCCTTTAAAAAGAAGGAAATCCTGCCATTTGCAGTAACATGGATAAACCTGGAGGACTTATTATGTTGAGTGAAATAAGCCAGGCCCAGAAAGAGAAATATTGCATGATCTCATTTATATGTGGAATCTCAAAACATTGAACTAATAGAAGCAGTGAGCAGAATGGAGGTTATTAGGGGCTGGGGTGGGTAGGTGTTAGAGAGATGTTGGTCAAAGGGTAAAAAATTTTAGACAGCAGGAATAAGTTTAAGAGTTCTATTGTCCATAATGGTGACTAAAGTTAATAACAATGTATTGTGTTCCTGAATTTAATGTAATACTTTTAAAAACTTAAATGAAATAGAAACATTTCTTCAGAGACCTAAACTACCAAATCTTTTTTTTTTTTTTTTTTTTTTTGAGATGGAGTTTTGCTCTCGTCGCCCAGGCTGGAGGGCAATGGTGCCATCTCAGCTCACTGCAACCTCCGTCTCCCGGGTTCAAGCAATTCTCCCACCTCAGCCTCCTGAGTAGCTGGGATTACAGGCAACTGCCACCATGCCTGGCTAACTTTTTAAATTTTTAGTATAGACGGGGTTTCACCATGTTGGCCAGGCTGGTCTCGAACTCCTGATCTCAAGTGATCCAACAACCTCGGCCTCCCAAAATGCTAGGATTACAAGCGTGAGCCACCGCGCCCAGCCCTAAACTACCAAATCTTAATAAAGAAGAAACAGATCTCCTGAATAGCCTCTATCTATTGAAGAAATTGCATGTAAAGTTTAAAACCTTCTCACAAAGAAAACTCTAGACCCAGATAGTTTCATTGGTGTATTCTACCAAACATTCAAGGAAGAGACAATACCAATCTATACATACCGTTCCACAATACAGAAGAGAAGGGAATACGGAAACTGTTCACTTTCTACCAGTTCCATCGCCCTCCTTCTCCTCTTGCCTCCACCTCCATGATTGGGAGTTCCTGTGCATGTGTACAGGTACCCCAGACCGCAGGCCCATGCTTCAGGCACAGCCCCTGCAAACAACCACCACACCCCCAGGGCCAAGGGGTGAGCCCACCAGTGGCTTTGAAAATGGGAAGCTTACCTGGTGCTGTTCCATTCTTCCAAAGCTCAACACCCCACAAGAATCCACCTGCTCTCGGTTACACTAAAACACCTGCAAGTACTTGTTTTTTATATTTCGTCCAGATTTGATCATTGTTATCTTTAGAAGAGTGACCTGTTTTTTGCATCACAGAATCTAACTTGGTTGTGAGATGCCCTTGTCACCAGCCTGGTTGTTCTATTCCCAAGATGGCACACAACAGAAATACATATTGCTTCTCAAGGTAAACCCCTCACCTTTGAGAAGTGTGTGTTTTGCTGGCTATTTCTGAGATCTGTAGCTTTGGACCTCTCTCTCGTTCTCTGCCTTTTCCTACACGTGCCCTGCTTGGTTTCCACTGCTTTTGGAAACTTCTCCACCTACTTGACATATTATTTTCTAGTTTCACTGAAAATAGAGTTTGCTTTTCTACCCCGCTGACTGTACCTACTGTTTTGACACTAGAACTATCAAAGATTCATGCAAAAGAGAAGACAGGGCCGAGGTCAGACAAGTATCAGTGGTTAACGGAATCATTATTTGTTAAATGACCCCATACGCACTAGGAAACCTATGGCTGTAGCCAGAGGTTTCTATATACCAGGACAGTATTGGAAGTCTATAATCACATGTACGTAAGACATATGCCACCCGTTTTGACAGGTGAACCAATGTCTCCTCTCTGTAACAGCATATTTCTGGGGTACAGTTATGCATGCTCAGGAAGGGCCATGAAAACACACCACTGTGTTAAGTGATACAGGTATAAGCTTGGGTTTACTAGAGGAAAAACATACAAGCAGAAAGTAGTAGAGTGCATGCCATCCCTGGAATCGAATTATCCCTCAGCTTAGACCAGGCATAGAGGTTTACATGCGCTGTGACCAACATTCCAATAAAGACTGATCTCCATGCCCTTAATATTGTAAATATTTACAGTGATGAGGTGGTTCTGCCTATCTGACTGAGTTAACACAGACCTGCTGAGCCAGTTTTCTGCCAAATTACCACAATGAAGAAGAAATGAGTGTCCAGGACCATCCAGGTTTGTCTCTCTTCAGATGTTTTGGAGATGTGGTTTGACCCATGAACTATCTGAATGTATATGTTCACCAATTATGCTGTGATGGGATTTTTACTACATTCACTTTAATGGCTTCTCAACATGAAGACAGTTGTCCTACAGCCATAACCTCACTCCATCTCCATTTCCTTATCTCTAGAAAACGAGGCGCAAGGATTGAGGCCAGTGGTATGTGACAATTACTATTCTGCCAAAGTAAATTTAGAAGCTGAAAGATAGGATGCCACTTCTGAAGATATGCGGCTGTTTTTATGCCCTGAAGCTTAGCTCTCCGCACCACACTTCATGGGACTCGCTGACCTTTAAGTCCCTTTCAACCTTGAGATTTGATTCTGTAACTAGCAGTACGGTGCATTTTTTAAAAAATAATTTAGCAAAAAAGGCTAACCACTAGAGGGCAGAAATATTACAAGAAAGGAGTGA
The DNA here is from genome assembly GCF_000001405.40 of Homo sapiens. Classification (NCBI taxonomy): domain Eukaryota; kingdom Metazoa; phylum Chordata; class Mammalia; order Primates; family Hominidae; genus Homo; species Homo sapiens. The sequence continues at coordinate 13,331,940 of NC_000006.12, read as the reverse complement.
TGCCTGTTACAGTGAAGTACACCTGTGAGTTTTACAAGTCTTATTTCAATTAAATTCCACAAAATTTTATTGCCTGACAACTCCATTCTATAATCTGTGTTATGCTAAGAGTCCAGTGACTAATAATGCTGACAGTTCACAACTCAAATATGCAACTGTAAGAACGAATGGCCACCTGTTCACATTGTGTGATAGCCCTTTTCATTTGTTTAGAAGTCTATATTAAGCACTTACTGTGTGCCAGGCGCTGTTCTATGGACTCAGGATACATCAGCTACCGAAGCAAAGATCCCTAACCTTGTGAAACTGACGTTCTGGTGGGAGGACAGATCCAATAAAAACTAAAATAAATAAGTCAGTAATGTAGTGTGTTAAAAAGTGATCGGTGCTGGCCGGGCGCTGTGGCTCAGGCCTGTAATCCCAGCACTTTGGGAGGCCGAGGCGGGTGGATCACTTGAGGTCAGGAGTTTGAGACCAGCCTGGCCGACATGGTGAAACCCCATCTCTATTAAAAATACAAAAAATTAGCTGGGCGCAGTGGCGGGGGCCTGTAATCCCAGCTACTACAGAGGCTGAGGCAGGAGAATCGCTTGAACCCGGGAGGTGAAGGTTACAGTGAGCCAAGGTCGCACCATTGCACTCCAGCCTGGGCAACAAGAGCAAAACTGTCTCAAAAAAAAAAAAAAAAAAAAAATGGGATCATTGCTGTGAAAGAAGGAAAAGGTAGAACTGCATACAGGGGATTGGGATTCAGGTAAAGTGTTGCAATTTTAGGTAGGGTGGGGAAAGTAGCCTCAGGGAGGGGACATTTGATTGAGACTGAGGTAAGTGAGTGGGCCATGTGGCTAGCAGAGGATAATGTGTTTCAGGCAGAGGGAACATGAGAAGGTCCCAAGGCAGGGGAGTCACTCATAGTAGCTGAGACTGAGGTACAAGGAGGTAGACCATGAGAAGTGTTGTAAGCTGTTGTGAGCACTTCAGTTTTTCCTTTGAGAGAAATGGGGAGCCACTGAAGGATTTTTTGCAGAGGGATATTTTTAGATTCATTCTGGCTGCAGAGTTGACAAAAGTCTCAAAGTGTTATCTCTTAGGGAAGCTTCCACATATTCTGTTATCAGCTCATCAAAAAACAGAATGGAGGGCAGTTGAAGGCACCCATATTGCTGTCACCATTCAGTGAACAGCAGTCTTGAAAATTGATTGTATGAATTGGAGTAATCTTCATACCCAGCTAAATTAGAGTCCAGAGATGAGGGAGAAGAGAAAGCAGTTGGGGCACAAAGTGCCTGCCCAGGAATTATATTGAAAGCCAGCTGCCAAGGTGACCTGCTATAACCTGAAGACCAGTTTCACCCAGTAGCTGCTGAAACGAATTGCTGTAACTCTAAGACTAGTTTTACTTACCACCTTCTCTCACAAATTAGAGCTTGCCTGTTCCTAAAAACTTTGCTTAGGGTCAATGAGCTATCTTTCAAGGTAATACATAACATTTCTCTAATGAAACCTCCAACCATCTCTTTGTTGTTCTGAAGACCACCCCAGTCTGTGTGTATGCCCTGAACTGCAATTCTGTTTTCCCAAATAAAATGATTTAGAGACTCATCTTTGCATTTTTAATTGATCTTGACACAGCCAATTCACATATATCCCTACTGTGCCACATGCCAGGCACCATGCCAAGCACTTTACATACTTTCTCATTTAACCCTTCCCACCTTCTATATAATCACCATTGGTGATGATTTTATTTTATTATTAATATTTTTTGAAATGGAATTTCTCTCGTTGCCCAGGCTGGAGTGCGGCGGCACCATCTCAGCTCACTGCAACCTCTGCCTTCCGGGTTCAAGCGATTCTCCTGCCTCAGCCTCCAGAGTAGCTGGGATTACAGGTGTGTGCCATCACACCCAGCTAATTTTGTATTTTTACTAGAGACAGGGTTTCACCATGTTGGCCAGGCTGGTCTCGAACTCCTGACCTCAGGTGATCCGCCTGCCTCGGCTTCCCAAAGTGTTGGGATCATAGGCATGAGCCACGGCGCCCAGCCAGCACCGATCACTTTTTAACACACTACATCATTGACTTATTTATTTTAGTTTTTATTGGATCTGTCCTCCCACCAGAATGTCAGTTTCACAAGGTTAGGGATCTTTGCTTCGGTAGCTGATGTATCCTGAGTCCATAGAACAGCGCCTGCACACAGTAAGTGCCCAGCCCTGGTGATGATTTTAAAGACAAGAAAAGGCAATTATAAAAGTTAGTGACCGGCCCAAGGTTTAGATGAAGTAAATGGAACTTGTGTAAGGTAACTTGAAGAACTCTGCTTACTCATGTGAACACTACCCAAGGAAGGTTTAGTACCCCAGTACTGAGGAACTAAAGATGGTGGTGGTAAGGGAGTGGGGAGGGGCATCAGTGTTTGAGTTCAACCACCACACGTTTCTTCATTTTTAAGTTCTGTCTAGCCATTATACACACATTTGTCTGCACTATAACTGGACTTCTGCACTGTTGATAGTCCTAAGTTTCCTTCAAAGCTTGGCATCCGTGTGGCTTATTTGGTAGAGATTTGAACTTTCAAAGGGACGATACCCATCATTGGGGATTTCTCTCAAACCCTGGCGGTTTAAAAACCTACTTGGGCACTGCTGCTCAGCCAGCCCGAGGACCAGGGAGGCAAGCACAGAAATAGAAAGCATTTGTAAGTGTTAGTAGCTACTTTAAAGAGTAACTCTGTTCTGTTAGACCTACTAATAACAAATTAGGAGCTTGCATTTAGCACATCTTTTTTTAAAAAAAAAACACGTTCATTTTTCTCCTATGTTATAGTGTTTTACCTGAGAGGCTGAATATACTAAGACAATGGCCAAATCTAATATAAAAATAGACCTCCAATCCACAACCTGCAGCAACCTGCCCAGAAAACCAGTCAGTTACCTACAATAACCAACCCAGGGAGCCTGCCTGCTCTAAATCAGACTTGCACTCCTCTGCCTGCCTTTTTTCTTCTCATTCGGATGGTCTTCATCTATTCCCACATACCTGGGGTGGGGAGGAAATTAGCAAAAGCAAAACCCGGGTCCTGCACGCAGGCAGCTTAAGTACGGCCCTAGGGCTCGGGTCTTCCCTAGGCAAGAACCTCGAGGGCCGGACACGGGAGTGCAACCCAGGCACGCGCCTTCGGATGGCCAGAGTAAATGGTCGCGAGATTTTGCGGGGTAGCAAGGGGCCGGGTGCCCACGGCGGGAGAAACTACACTACTCTGGAGGCGAGCCTAGCCCTTCATCCCGTCGGGTTTCACAAACGAAGCCAGAGCTTCCTGGAGTGAGGGTGGAGCTTCCTGCCCGCGCCCTCTGCGCATGCGCCCGCCCGGCGCCCGCCCGGCGACCTGGAGTTGATGTCACGTCCGGCGGCGGCGGCAGCGGCAGCGGCAGCGGCGCTGAGTTTTGTCTCCCGGGCCGTCTGGGCGCGCGCGGGTGTCCCAGGTACCCCGCCGCCTCCCTCCTTCCCGCAGGACTCGTCCCTCCTGGCCCTGGGCCCCAACGGTGCCCGCCTGCCCGGCGGTCGGTCAGCGCACAGGGCACGGCTTCCTCTGCTTCTCCCGGACCACTTAGTCTCAACCCGGGTGTGTTTGCACTACTAGAGGTGAAGCATCCATCATAGAGAGAATGGGACCTGGGGTCTTGGACCAGGGTGTTTTTACTTTTCCCATCAGGTGGACGCGCATGGGCAGGAGATATTATTTGCAGCATTTCCTCCTAGAGGACGCCTTTGTCATTGTAGTGCAATCTAAGAATGGGTGTCCTTAGACAACAGGGACCGACCAAATCGTCATGCAGCTGTTTGGATGCTTTAAAAAAATAAATCCCCACACTCATTACGCGTTTTATGCTGCTGACTTTTTTATTTTTAAGACATCTGCTCCCGAAAGCTCAGAGCCCTTTAGCATTTCATTTTCTAAACGAATCCTAATCTTTCCTGTGACTGAATCGGTTCAGAGGATATCTTTTCAATAAGGAAGGAAGCCCTCCCCTGCTCACTGGGGACGTCGCAGGGTTTTTAAACCTAAAGATTTACTCTTTTGTGCACAGACGCTGGAAGCATTTGGGTGAGGCAGTGCAGTGCTTTTTGGGAAATGCATCAGATCTTTTCTGTTCTTGAAACGCCAAATCTAACTTGGTCTTTTTTTGGATGAATTACCGCCAGTATTATGAAGGTTACTGTGAAGGAACTTGAGACCACTGAACTTTTTGAGTTCTTGCGGTAGATTTTAAATCGTTTTTCCGTCTTCAACTCTGACTTTGGGATCACTGTCAATTGGCTACATTCTTTACCCTCTTCTAGTTATAATTTAATGCGATTTATTTGTTGTGGGTTTTGAATTTCGATAGCTACACTTAATAGAATTGTGTTTAAAAGAAAGATAAGTGAGGAACTCGTGGCTTTTTACTTTTATATAACTTAATTTTTCATTTTACAAAATGCCCATTTAAAAAAAAGTAGCTAAGCAAAAGAAAGGAAATTAAAATCATCTAGAATCCTACTATCTAAAGATAACCATTGCTAACATTTTGGAATAGAGTGTTAAGTTTTAAAATACATGAAATTTGTAAAAAACAAAAAATGAAATCATAGTGTATACTGTTTGAGTATAATTTGCTTGACGTATCTTGCCTGGCTTCCATTTCACTTATTTTTTTTCTTTGCGCATTTATAATAGCTACAGAATGTTCTATTGTGCTAGGCACTCATAGGTATAGTGGGAAACCTAGTGCATAAACCTTGTGCCATCTATTTTATCAGCTCAGAGAACTTTTAACTTATATCTTGGTTTTTAGCCAAGATGCATAGGTGAGATAGTTGCAGAACTGAGTTAAAGGAAAAATTTAATATTGGGTCCTATGCAAGGGTACATCATATTGAAAAGGTGGAGAACATCATTGAAAATTATTCTAATTCTTGACTCTTTGTTTCTAGACTCACTTTTCCCCTTCGTCTTTCTCTCCCTTTCTGTCTTTCTGTGTCTCCTCCAAGAATGAAATATGACTGAGGACTCTCAGAGAAACTTTCGTTCAGTATATTATGAGAAAGTGGGGTTTCGTGGAGTTGAAGAAAAGAAATCATTAGAAATTCTCCTAAAAGATGACCGTCTGGGTGAGTACTTTTAAAAATTAATCTCATTGGTTCTCAATCACTCCACATGTTCTGAAGTAAATATTTTCTTAAAAGACATCCAGAAGCATTGGTTACTTGCTGTATTTTTTAGTGATGTGGTGAAGCAGAATGGTGTATTTTGAGAAAAGATTTTTCAAATTTATATTTCACTGAGCGTCAGAAGTTTTTGAAAGGTTTCTTAAGAAAGTCAGTAGTATTTTTTTCTTTTATTGAACCCATATGTTTTCATGTATTATCTAGGTAAATTTGCTTCTGGGTAAATTTGCGATAACTCTGGTCATGATTTTCTTTTTTTTTTTTTTTGAGACCAAGTCTGACTCTGTTGCCCAGGCTGTAGTGCAGTGGTGTGATCTTGGCTCACAGCAACCTACACTTCCTGGGTTCAAGTGATTCTCCTGCCTCAGCCTCCCAGGTAGCTGGAATTACAGGCATGTGCCACCATGCCTGGCTATTTTTTGTATTTTTAGTAGAGACAGGATTTCACCATGTTGGCCAGGCTGGTCTCAAATTCCTGACCTCAAGTGATCCACCCACCTCGGCCTCCCAAAGTGCTGGGATTACAGGCAGGAGTCACCATGCCCAGCCCATGATTTTCTTTTATGGAAATACTAAGAGTGCATTGTATATTGACATTTTAGTTTGAGCCAGTCTGAATAAGGTCTGTTGTTGACTAAAGTAAAATAAACTGAACCGTAGTTAAAGATAATACTTTATTTGCATAGAGTACTTTTAAAGTTTCTGAAACATTTCTCACCTTATCTTTGATCTTCAATTGTGCGGTCTTTGCTTTAGTATGTCTGGTATTCTCCTTTGATAAGTAGAGGAATTGAGGGTCAGGGAAGTCACTGTAATTTATTGGAAAATGTAGGGATTTGAAGGCAGACTGTACCACTTAATAGCTATGTTAGTTTGATCAAGTCATTTAACTGCTTTGAACTTCAGTTTCTGCATTTTTAGAACAAGAACTACCTAACAGGCTTGCAGTGTGAATTAAATAAACCCTGTGATTAATAACTACCACTGTTATAGGGAATGTAGTAATATATGCAAAATGCATCTCCAATGCTGTAAAATGCAAATTGTTTTTATTTTTATTATTATTTTTAACACAGAGTCTCACTCTTGCCCAGGCTGCAGTGCAGTGGCACGATCTTGGCTCACTGCAACCTCTGCCTCCTGGGTTCAGGCGATCCTTCTGTCTCAGCCTCTTGACTAGCTGGGATCACAGGTGTGTGCCACCATACCCAGCCAATTTTTGTATTTTTAGTAGAGATGGTGTTTTGCCATGTTGGCCAGGCTGGTCCCAAACTCCTGACCTCTAGTGATTTGCCTGCCTCAGCCTCCCAAAGTTCTGGGATTACAGGCATGAGCCACCGTGCCTGGCCGCAAATTGTTTTTAAATAACTTAGTTGGCAGAAGTCTTGGGCTAGAAATCAGACTAGTATTGCCTCTCCTAAACTTACTGACCATATGGTAGACTTCCCCTGAAGAAATGTCTTAACTATTCTTTGAGTTTTAAAAAATGAAATGTGCCTTGACATACTGTGATCAGCATGAAAAGCTTCTAACAATTGTTTTCTTCTTCCTCTAGATACTGAGAAACTTTGTACTTTTAGTCAGAGGTTCCCTCTCCCGTCCATGTACCGTGCATTGGTATGGAAGGTGCTTCTAGGTATGAGACCCAGGAGTTGGAAGATTTATCTTAAAAAATATTGAATGAAGGGATCATTTGCTATCTTATCAGTCAGAAAAAGGAGAATTTGTTTAGGCCTTTTACTGAATATTGGATCTTCCCCAGGAGGTTCAATTACCACTCATTATTTTCTGTTCTATTAATGATACTATAGAAGAGAAAATAGTTTATGTTCCTGAGACAAGATCTGGGAAGAGCATTGGAGTAGGAGAAATGAGAATTGGTTTAGGCTTTGCTATCAGCTGGGTAACCTGGAGGAAGGCGACCCCTCTGGGACTCATTTTTTGCATCTATAAACTGAAGCTTTTGAGCTAAATTACTCCTAGTTTTTAGCTCTAAATTTGTAAGATTTTGTGATTCTCAGCTATAGAGGTATAACTTCCTAATCTGTCAAAGAGGAATTGGAGACTTACTACTCCCTAGAAGTGTGAATGACTAAATTCCAGTGGTGCGAGTGGCTGAGTGAGAAGGAAAACTGATCTTACTTAGTTTCTATGGAAGAAAATGTGAATTAAGTGCCATGAGTAACTGGCAGCATCCCTTTTGAGCCCAAGATTTTCTTTCCCCTATCATTGCTGAGCCTGCTGGAGCATATAATTCCTATCCATTACCATCCTCCTTTTCTTTCTTAAAAAAAGTATTTTTGGCTGGGCGCGGTGGCTCACACCTGGAATCCCAGCACTTTGGGAGGCCAAGGCGGGCAGATCACGCAGTCAGGAGATTGAGACCATCCTGGCCAACAAGGGTGAAACCCCCTCTCTACTAAAAATACAAAAAATCAGCTGGGCATGGTGGCATGCGCCTGTAGTCCCAGCTACCTGGAAGGCTGAGGAAGGAGAATCGCTTGAACCCGGGAGGCAGAGGTTGCAGTGAGACGAGATGGCACCACTGCACTCCAGCCTGGGCGACAGAGCGAGACTCCGTCTCCAAAAAAAAAAACAAAAAACAAACAAAAAAAAACTTACAGTTTGTTCACTGTAAGATAGTGGCGAGTACTAAATTCCCTGAAGAATATAAACTATGATTGCTCCTTATTGGGCATCCCTGTATGCCTGTCAGTAGGCTGAGTAGTTTACATAGATTATACAGAGTAATCCTAGAATCCCTGTGAGGCAGGTATTGGTATCCTAATTTTGCAGATGGGGAAAAGACTCTCTGAGGCTAAGTAACTTGCCTAAGGCATTATAGCCTGTAAGTGGCAGAGCTAGGATTTGAGCTTACGTTTGTGGAACTCATTTGAAGGTAAGATAGATTGTGGACCTCATTTTCTTTCCAAAATGTAGTATCTTTTCAGGGCTTGAGAAGCCTGCAGCCCTGTCTGGTTATGTAATATGGAGGCAGCGAGGGAATATAAGCGGTACTAGGAAGGCCTGCAGAATGACTTGTTTCTTGTTCATCCTGGCAGTCTCTGTGCACTTTTATGTCTGGTAGGTCAACGTGCAGTTACAATCTGGAGAAGCGGTGACAACTATTTTAGTTTTTCCCAGAGCACTTTTCTTTAAATGTTACTGTTCTCCGTGCCTTCTGGGGTACATTTTAAGTGGTAATGTCAACAGTGTCGATTTATGGGAGGTGCTGTGTGTCTATTAATAACTGCAGTGGATTAATGGGAGTTGTGCAGTTGTGCTTTCCCTCACTTCTTGAGTGCTACAGCCTATCTGGCTTATTCCTCACTTCTACTCTTCTTAACCATTCTTTCTTTTTTTTTAATTTTTTTATTTTGAGACAGAGTTTTGCTCTGTCACCCAGGCTGGAGTGCAGTGGCGCGATCTCAGCACTGCAACCTCTGCCTCCCGGGTTCAGGCGATTCTCCTGCCTCAGTCTCCCGAGTAGCTGGGACTACAGGCGCGCACCCCCACGCCCGGCTAATTTTTTGTATTTTAGTAGAGATGGGGTTTCACTGTGTTGCCCAGGCTGGTCGCAAACTCCTGAGCTCAGGCAGTCCACCTGCCTCGGCCTCCCAAAGTGCTGGGATTACAGGCATGAGACACCGCGCTCGGCCCACCTTTCTTTATCATGTCATAGTTATTTTTTGAGGACAAGGCACTGGAAGTTTAGAGCTGTCGCCTGTGTAGGACACAGCCTGACTCTTCCCAGCACAGAGTTTTGATTACTTAGGGATCTTTACTTCAAATGCCTACTTCCTGATACTATTTTAGTTAAATATCAAAAAGAGACATTTTAGGACTAGCTCTTAGAAAACAGGTTTAAGGGTTAATGTGCTGCCTCTAGCAGGGTGATGAGGGTTTGGTCACAGCTGTTTAAGCTGTATTAGCCGAGATGTAGGAGACACTTTAGTGTGTTCCCTTGGCTTTTCTGGAAGCCTGGCACACAGTCTCATAGCATGAGTAAAGATTTCTTTCAGGGAAAAGAACATTTAAGCAAGTTTTTTTTCTAACATTAACTGGTATCATGTTAGCTACTATTGTTTTTGTTTTCTGGGGTGTTCTTTAGAATACTAAACCTGTGGCATTTTGCACCAAAGAGGGATTCATAGTCAAATGTACTAGCTAACACTTATACAGCTTAGTGTTTGCTGAGTACTCTTCTGAATGCTTTGTGTGTGTTGATTTGTTTATTCATCTCAACAACTGTATGATATTAGATATTGTTATTCCCATTTTTCAGATGGGGAAGCTAAGACATAGGAGATAAAGTAATTGCTAAAGGTCACCACCCAGCCAGTTAATTGTAGAGCTGGAATTTAAACCCAGGAACTTTGCTCCAGAGTCTGTACTTCTGTAGAGCCTCATTAAGTTTAATGAGGCTTGAGTAAATAAAATGTTTTTTTTTGTTTTGTTTTTTCTTTTTTTTTCTTTGAGACAGGGTCTTACTCTGTTTTCTAGGCTGGCGTGCGGTGGTACGATCACAGCTCACTATGGCCTTGACTTCCTAGGCTCAGGTGATCCTCCCACCTCAGCCTCCCACTTCAGCCTCCCGGGTAGCTGGGACTACAGGCATGTGCCACTGGACCTGGCTAATTTTTTGTAGAGACAGGGTTTCCCAAATACCTTCACCCAGTTGCCCAGGCTGGTCTTGAACTTCTGGGCTCAAGTGATCTGCCTGCCTTGGCCTCTCAAAGTGCTGGGATTATAGGCGTTAGCCACCATACCTGGCCTAAAATGTTTTTCTTTATGGCAAAACTTAGTGCCATGAAAATTCATTGTCACCATTTCCCAAATCTGTTTGATGAGGGCATTTTTTTTTCTCTTGGGGTTAGCATTCTGTGGAGAAGCATTTGGTGAAATGCTTATCCCATTTCCTGCCTCTGGCAGGTGGGGAAAACAAGTGCCCAGAAAGACACATTTCAGAGTCCTAGTATTATCCAGTCCGAGGCTAGAACCCAGGATGGCTGGTCTGTCTAGTGGTCTTTCCACTGTGTTTCCTCAGAGCCATTTGTTTGTAAAAAAGATATGACACCATGTTTAAATGGGTTAAGGAGCTTAATATGTCATAGAAATGTCCTGTAAGGTGACCTCACCAATGAAGATTAAGGACTTTTGTGACCTGGAGGATAGGATACTTAGTGAGCAAGTTTTAACTGTTGGGGAAGAGAAGAATTCAATGGGCTGTTGGTGGTTCTGAGATGTAGGGGCCAAGTACAAAGACTAGGGTGAGACCTCTAGGAGCTAAAGGCAGCCTGAGGCTGCCATAAATTAAGTTAAACCATTGTTAGGATTGATGTGGTTGCTAATCTTGAATGTATGCGGCATACTTATTCAAGGGCTTTGCCAGTGTTGTTTCATTTCTCTCTCATATCAGTGATGCATCAGCACTCAAACATTGATAATATTTCACATTTAAGATTGTTTTATAGTGAGAATTTCTAAAAGAGATTCTACATGGTACTTGAATGTCTGCGTGAATTCTAGCCTAATTGTGTGGGTCGCTTCTCACGGCATCCTCTTTCATAGATGAGGGATTTGGAGTGATGGCTCAGTATTTTGTCCTTTTTTCGTTTTTCCTGTTCTCTCTAGGAATCTTGCCTCCACACCACGAGTCCCATGCCAAGGTGATGATGTATCGTAAGGAGCAGTACTTGGATGTCCTTCATGCCCTGAAAGTCGTTCGCTTTGTTAGTGATGCCACACCTCAGGCTGAAGTCTATCTCCGCATGTATCAGCTGGAGTCTGGGAAGTTACCTCGAAGTCCCTCTTTTCCACTGGTTAGTGGTCACTTTTGTCTGACACTAAGCTCAACTCTAGACCGTCCCATCTTGCCGGCCTTTGATTACATCATGTTTTGCCTTAAAAACTTTTGGTGGCTCCCTGTTGTTATTAGAATAAAAGTGACACATCTTTACTTGGCATTCATGGCCATGCACATTCTGACCCAACCTTCTTACTTTTTGTTTTTTTAAAATACGTTTTATTTTGAAGTAATTTCAAACTTCCAGAAAAGTTGCAAGAATACTACCAAGAATTTGCATATACCCTTTACCCAGATTCTCCAGTTGTTAACATTATGCAACTTTTTTCTACATCCAACATTATTTAAAAAGTTAAAAAATAAAAAATTGTAGGTGCTAAGTAGCTTTAAGCATCTGTTTTGCTTTGTGTGCATCTGTTTTGCTTTGTTGTTTTAAAACGTATTTTTTTAAACACATTTTTTTTTTCCTAAATCATTTGAGAGTAAGATGCAGACAGGATTCCCTATTACCTCAGATTCCTTCAGTGTACACTTCCTAAAGACAGGACACCCCTGTAGATAGCCATAGTACAGTCCTCAAAACTAAGACATTAACATTGATACAATATTAACGTAATCTACCAGCTCCATTTGAATTTCACCAATAATGCCTTCACAAATAATCAAACGGTCAAAGTTCTGGGTGAGGACTGGATCCTGGTTTAGGCATTGCACTGGGTTATCATATTGCTTTAGTCTCCTTTGACTTGGGACAGTTCTGTCTTTTTTTATCTTTCATGCCTTTGACATTTTTGAAGGGCATAATCAGATGCTTTGAAGAAAGCCCCTCCCTTTAGGTTTGTCTGGTGTTTCCTCCTGATTAGATTCAGGTTATTCATTTTTGGCAGGGATACCAAGTAGGTGATGCTGTGTCCTTCTCAGTGTCTCTTATCAGGAGGCACATAGTGTGAATTTGCCCCATAAGAGGTAGTGTTAACTTGGATCACTTGGCGAGGGTGCTGCCTGCTGGAGTTTTCCGCTGGAAAGTTTTTACTTTTCCCTTTGTAATTGCTATTTCTCTTTGTGGGGAGACACTTTAAAACTGCTATGTAAACATCCTATTCCTTATTAAACTTTTGCTCATGAGTATTCTCATTTGACGATTTCTAAAAAATTTTTATTTTTTAACTTTTTAAATAATGTTGGATGTAGAAAAAAGTTGCAAAAATAGTGCAGTGTTCTGAAATACCTTCACCCAGTGTCCTCAAATGTTACATCTCATACAACCGTAATGTAATGATCAAAACCGGAGAATCACAATACTGACAGCTACTCTGTAGGCCTCACTGGGATTTTGCTGATGTCCCACTGATGCTCTTCTTCTGATCCAAGATCCAGTTCCGGATCACACATTACATTTAGCTGCCACGTCTTAGTCTTTAATCTGGAAGAGTTCTTTTTTTTTTTTTTTTTTTCTTTTTTTTGAGACAGAGTTTTTCTCTTTTTGACCAGGCTGGAGTGCAGTGGTGCGATCTTGGCTCAACGCAACTTCTGCCTCCTGGGTTCAAGCAATTCTTGTGCCTCAGCCTCCAGAGTAGCTGGGATTACAGGTGCGCACCACCACTCCCGGCTAATTTTTGTATTTTTAGTAAAGATGGGATTTCTCCATGTTGGTCAGGCTGGTTTTGAACTCCCGACCTCAGGTGATTCACCTGCCTTGGCCTCCCAAAGTGCTGTGATTACTGGCGTGAGCCACTGTGCCTGGCCTGGAACAGTTCTTCAGTCTTTGTCTTTCATGACCTTGACACTTTTGAAGAGCCCTGGCCAGTAGAGCATTTCTCAATTTGGGTCTGTCTCATGTTTCTCCATGATTAAACTCTGGTCACGCATTATTGGCAGGAATATCACAGAAGTATGGGACTCATTACTGTGCTGCTAACTTTGATCACTTGGGTAAGATGGTGTCTGTGGAGTTTCTCCACTGTAAGGTTACTATTTTCCTCTTTGTAATTAATAAATAACTGTGGAGAAGTACTTTGAGACTTGTAAGTAGCCATCCACTAATGATTCTTGCCTGAACCAATTTTTACTATGCTGATTGCCAAATGGTGATCTAACTCCTTCATTCTTTCTGCATGTATTAGTTGGCATTCTTCTCTAAGGAAGAGTTTTCCCTTCTCCTTCTTTATTTATATCAGTATGAAATTAAAGTGTTATTTGTTTGGCTAAAACAGTGAATTGTTCAAATGGATTTGCTGGAACACTCCTATTTTACAAAATTTATTTTTATTGCAGATCTAATTTTTTTTGACGTTAATGATGAGGTATCCATGGACAAACCTTAGAGCTAATAAAGATCATTTATATTTCTTACGTTTATCGAGAGAGAAGGTCCCTAAAAAATAATTGGAATAATTTAAGCAATCATCTTTAAATTTCACTTATTGGCAAAGTGAAGTTGATAGTACTACACAAGTTCTTAAATTATATATCAAATTAAATTAGATTAGGAATTGAGATGACAGGGTATAGGTTCCGCCTCACCGCTACTCAGCTTGTCTGTGTTCCAAGCTGAGACACCTTTACTGCAGCCTCAGGCAGACGTGCTTCTGAGTGTGTGTTTTGGACTCTGCCATCCCACGTCTCCCAGTCATGATCCTCATTGTATTAGTCTGTTTTTGATTGCTTATAACAGAATACCTGAAATCGGATAATTTATTTTAAAAAGGAATTTATTTCTTACAATTCTAGAAGCTGGGAAGTCCAGGATTCAGGGGCTACATCTGGTGAAGGCCTTCTTGCTGATGACTCTCTGCAGGGTCCTGAGGTGGCACAGGCTATCACATGGTGAGGGGGCTGAACGTGCCAACGTGCTCACCCAGGACTCTCTTCCTCTTCTTAGGAAGCCACCAGTCCCGTTCCTGTGATAACCCATTAATCTATGAATTGACCCACTGATGAGGGCAGAGCCCTCATGATCCAGTCACCTCTTAAAGGCCCCACTTCTCAATACTGCCACAATGGGGATTAAATTTCAACATAAGTTTCGGAGGGGACAGATATTTGAACCGTAGCACCTACTTAGCGCCCACTCTGCCTCATTTTTTAATCCATTAATAAGAGGGTGCAGCAGTGCTCATCACAGGGCCAGGAAGGACGACATGGGTCCTCTTCCCTTGACCTGTCAGTGGTCAGGAGCAGTCAGTGATATGCCACCTTTCGGGGTGCCAAGCACAGTGCACAGAACTGCACGGGAGTCCAAGAAAGGAGATTTTCCTTTCCCTTTTCTTCCTACTTATTTTCCATTCTCCTTTGACACATTAATAAAATGTTTTGAGAAAACTTATTCCCTATGATTTAAATTATGTTTTTCTTGACATTTTATAGAATATTAACAAGTTGAAAGAAGGGCTTAGAATGAAATAATACATTAAAATAACAATTTTGATTTAAGTCGGTACTTTTTAAGGGAAAGTGTGATACTTCTTAGTTTCTTTTTAACATTAAAATCCTTCAGCTATTAAATCCTAGATGAAAATGTAAAGCTTTTTGTATATGATATGGTGTTTGAAAGCAGAAGAGGTTTTCAAATAAGGTCCCGGTTTTTCTAAGATTTCTCTGTTGAAATTTACCTGAGAGTTTACTTTCGCATTCTGAGTATTGACACAAGGTTTGAGAAATGCCATTCTTTTGATTCCTAAAATTCTGATTCTAGGAACATTTTAACTTTTGTACTGCTTAAGATAGAACAAAATTCTGAAGGTATGCGTGAATGCTTTGAAATAAAGCAAATGCTTTATTAGTCTTTTTGGAGCTCTTCAATATTTGCAAATTACTGTGCTGAAAAATGTCTCCAGTTACTGATGGTGCTGTTTATTACACCCTTTTCAAAGATATCCTCACCTAGTACTGAGAATATTTTTGGGTGGAGAGAGTCAGTGACTTGCTTATGATTTATGTTGACTCTGTGAGGGGCTTAATGTTAGAAGCTGGGGAGTGTCTGTACACTCAGCCTGAAACCTGGTCATTCATAAGCAGCACTGACCCTGTAGTTACTCATCTTTTTCTCCCCCTTGCTCCCCTCTTCAGGGAGGGACTCTGTGCTTTTTGATCCTACTTTGATTTATTAATGTAGCCTTTTCAAAATTTAGGGAGCAAGGTTTCATTTTTTATTAAAGAAATATGTATTCCTCTCTTTCACTGCCTTCCTCTTGAGATTTATTATTAATCTTTCAGGAGCCAGATGATGAAGTGTTTCTTGCCATAGCTAAAGCCATGGAGGAAATGGTGGAAGATAGTGTCGACTGTTACTGGATCACCCGACGCTTTGTGAACCAATTAAATACCAAGTACCGGGATTCCTTGCCCCAGTTGGTGAGGGCTTTTTTTTTTTTTTGGCTATTGGAGAGTGAACAATGGTAGTGGGGGTCTTCAGGGAGTGCTCTTACCTCCTGGGGCTGCTGCAATTCTGAATAACCCTTTATAGTAGAACTCAGCAAGCGTTTTCTGTAAAAGTCCATATAATCTAAATATTTCCAGCTTGGTGGGCCAGATGGTCTCTATTGTAACCACTCAACTCTGCTGTTGTTGCACAAAAGCAACCTTAGGCAACGCATAAAATAATGTTCCTGGCTGGATTTGCTCTGCTGCAGGCCAGAGGTGGCCAGTCCTGCTCTATAGTATTCCTTATTCTGGTCTAGAATCCGCTGGTCTAGAGTAATCCCTCTGTGTAAGTTAAGGTTTTCATTTGGCTGCATATAATGGGAAGCCCAAATACCAGAAGCTAAGAATCCAGGCAGTGCAGAGCTGGCGCTGCAGAACCACAGTATGGAGAGGGTTGCAGACTGCTGCCATTCTGCTCCAGTATTCATAGGAATGATCTTTCCTCTCGTGCTCACAAGGTTGCTCTTGGACCAGCGGCCATGACGTCTGTGTTCTAGGCAGAAGGAAAGGGAAGGCAAAGGTAAACACAAAGGAATAAGAGGGACAAGCCAGCCACAACTGTGGCCCATTAGGCTTTCCCTCTGCATGTACAGCTGACCTTTGAGTAGTGTAGGTTTAGGAGAACTGACCCAACCCCAGCATAGTTGATACTCTGCATATAACTTTTGACTCCCCCAAAACCTAACTACTAATAACCTACTGTTGACTGGAAGCCTTACTGATAACATAGATGGTTGTTTAACACATATTTTGTACACATATTTTGTTTCCATTTTTGTTTTTTTGAGATGGAGTCTCATGCTGTCGCCCAGCCTGGAGTGCAATGGCATGGTCTCGGCTCACTGCAACCTCTGCCTCCTGGGTTCAAATGATTCTCCTGCTTTAGCCTCCCAAGTAAGTGGGATTACAGGTGCCTGCCACCACACCTGGCTAATTTTTGTATCTTTTTTAGTAGAGACGGGGTTGCATCGTGTTGGTCAGGCCGGTCTTGAACTCCTGACCTCAGGTTATCCGCCCACCTTGGCCTCCCAAAGTGCTGGGATTTACAGGCATGAGCCACCACACCCAGCCACATATTTTGTTATATGTGTATTCAGTATATTCCTGTAATGAGGTAAGCTAGAGAAAAGAAAATGTTAAGAAAATCATAAGGAAAATTAAATATGTTTTCTATTTATGAAGTGGAAGTGGATCATCACAAGGTCTTTATTCTCATTGTCTTCACGTTGAGTAGGCTGAGCAGGAGGAGGGAGGGAAGGATGGTCTTGCTGTCTCAGGGGTTGGCAGAGGTGGAAGAAAATCCATGTTTAAGGGGACCTTTGCAATTCAAACCCATGTTGTTCAGGGGTCAACTATATGTTAGTGACCAGGACTGTGTCACTTGGCTGCCCTGTCTGCAGTAGAGGCTGGGAAAGGTTCTTTTTTTAAAAAAAGCTGTGTGATCTCCTACTAAAACAGGGGCTCTGTGAGTGACATAGGAGGGGCACATGGGAGTGTGGCAGGCAGCAAGCTGTTTCTGTCATAGCCTGGCTTGGGAAGGCAGAGAACTGAATGGTACTTGCTGCATTGCACAAGCTAGTCTTCCTTTGCCACTTTCTTTTTTTCTAGTTTTTTCCCCTTATTTATCTCATTTATAAAAATAAACCTTTTTTTCTTAAATCATTGGGTTATTTCCTTTTAAAATTCTACTGAAAGTGGTAACTGTGGTACAGGGTGCAAGATGAGATGCGGGGCACTGATGATGGTTGGATGAGCATTGAGGATCACTGCAGT
The DNA here is from genome assembly GCF_000001405.40 of Homo sapiens. Lineage (NCBI taxonomy): Eukaryota > Metazoa > Chordata > Mammalia > Primates > Hominidae > Homo > Homo sapiens. The sequence continues at coordinate 13,314,728 of NC_000006.12, read as the reverse complement.
TAATTGTTAATAAGGCAATGTGCAAGACCCTTCAGCTTCTGAGAACACTTACAAGAGCAGTTTTTATATATTTCAACTAAGTAAAATTTGATTTTTAAGATTTTGAAATTTGATCCACTTTGTTGATTTCAATAAAAATAATTTCAGCCTGGAAATGGAGCTTAAGTAAATATGTCAGTTGCCTAATCAAATCAGGAGGTCTCAGTTATATCATACCATGATCTAATTAGCTTTTCTTATTTAATATTCGAGTAAGTCAGTAGCATTTTGATAGTTTATGCTATTCTTTAAAAATTCATCCTTTATTTTTCGTAACATAAATGGTGAATGCATTCTCAAAAGAAATTCAGCAATTCAGATGAATCCATGTTTCCCTAGACCTGGACTAACCACCCCCCATCCCTGCAATTCCCTACTTCTCCTTCTAAGAAGTAAACATTTGTCATTAGCTTGGTGTGTATTACAAGATTCTCTTATGTGCATGCATCTATGATATGATTTTCCTTTCCTTTTTTTTTTTTTTTGAGATGGAGTCTCGCTTGGTCGCCAAGGCGGGAGTGCAGTGGCGCAATCTCGGCTCACTGCAAGCTCCACCTCCCGGGTTCATCCCAGCCTCCTGAGTAGCTGGGACTACAGGCACCCGCCACCACGCCCAGCTAATTTTTTGTATTTTTAGTAGAGATGGGGTTTCACCGTGTTAGCCAGGATGCTCTCGATCTGACCTTGTGATCCGCCCCCTCGGCCTCCCAAAGTGCTGGGATTAATCACATTAAGTAGTATTATACTGTACATGTGGCCCTATGGTTCTATTTTTGTTTTTTAACTTACTGCCTTGGAGAACTTTCCAAGGCAGTTTAGACAAATCACTAGTTTTCAGTCCTGACTTCCTGTTAGTACCACCTGGGAGCTTTTAAAAATTACCATCACCTTTCCTCCACCTAGACAAGTGAAATCTGAGTCTCTGAAGGTAGGGCCCTGGAATTCTAATTTCTTAAAAGCTCCAGGCAATTCTGAAGTGTAGTTAAGGGTTGAAAGGCACTCATTTAGAACCACCTTTTAAAAAATATTTACTCCTAGCATTTCCTGTTACAAATTTGCTCTATTTAAACCTAAGAGATCCATACTGAGAGTAAGCATGCCCTTGTCCAGGCTCCCTGTGTGTATGCGTATCTCTCTAGGCTTGGTACCTACGAGCAGATGCTCAAGCAGAGGGGAGACATATTTAAAATCTATTCATTTATTTTTGACATATTTAAAATTTGAACTGCCTGGCTGCTCATCCAAAGGCCATATCAATTTATGCTCCTACCAAACAGATGATGAGATTTCCCATTTTCCACCCCATTGCCAATACTTGATAGTATCAATGTCTTACATTTTTATCCATCTGATAGTGAAATGGCATCTTATTTTAATTTACCTATCCTCAGTTTCTAGTGAAGTTGAGTATGTTTGCATATGGCTATTGTTTTGTTGACTTTTTTTCTTTGTAAGAGTTATTGGTATATAGTCACTCTTGGATCTGTAGGGGATTAATTCTAGGACTCATTGAGACAGTAAAATTCATGGGTGTTCAAGTCCCTTACATAAAATGGGACTTGCAAATAGTATTTGCATATAACCTACACATCTCTTCCTGTATACTTTAGATTACTTATAATACATAATACAATGTAAATGCTATGTAAATAGTTGTTATACTGTATTATTTAGGGAATAATGACAAAGAAATCTGTGTCTGTTCAATACAGACACAACTATCCATTTTTTATTTCCTGAATATTTTTGGCCCATGGTTGGTTGAGTCCATGGATATGAGGGTCGACTGTACCCTGGATATTTATCCTTATCCCTTACGTTTGTTGAAAATAGTTTCTGTTTGTTGTACAAAATTTTAGGTTTTGATACAATGAGATTTGCCAGCATTTTTTTTTTTTTTGCTTTTTTGTGTCTTACTGGTTAATTAGCCCTTTCCAACCCCAAGATTAAAAAAATATATATTTTTTTGTTTTCTCCTAACTTTTTTTTTTTTTTTCTGAGATGGAGCCTTGCTCTGTCACCCAGGCTGGAGTGCAGTGGTGCGATCTCAGCTCACTGCAACCTCTGCCTCTTGGGTTCAAGGGATTCTTCTGCCTCAGCCTCCTGAGTAGCTGGGACTACAGGCACGAGTGTGGCACCATGCCTGGCTAATTTTTGTATTTTTAGTAGAGACGGGATTTCGCCATTTTGGCCAGGCTGGTCTCGAACTCCTGACCTCAGGTGATCTGCCCCCACTCGGCCTCCCAAAGTGCTGAGATTATAGGTGTGAGCCACCACGCCTGGCCTGTTTTCTCATAACTTTTAAAAATGCTTAAACATTTTAAATTTAGCTCTTTGTCAGGGATTTATCTTTGGTTGGCATCAGACACATACTGGATTTCACTCTTACGCTTACCTGCAACACCACTACTTCTACCAACACATCACTCCTCCTCCTGTTCCTCTTCTCCCCGTCTGGTTGGTGTATTACTGAGAATGTACTTCATGTCAGGCAGTGCTAAATTTACATTGTTAGTGAGCACTTCATTCAAGCATATTATCTTTGTTTTTACAGATGAGGATACTGAAGCACAGAGAAGTTAAGTAAGACCAAGGTCTCAGTTAGTAAGCAGTAGAACAGCACTTACATGGTGTATTTGTCAGTTCATCCTTTTTCCACGGATTTGAAATGCCACCTTTATCATATACTGGATTTCCATATATGTGTGTGTGTATATATATATAAATACATTTTTATATATATTTATATTTATATCTATATCTCTTTCTGGACTCCTTTTTATTCCATTGAGGTATTTGTCTATTCCTGGGCCAAATCACATGATTTATTTAATACAACTTTCTAGCGTATTTTGATAGCTGATAAGGAAAGTCTCTTATTGTTGCTCTTTTTCAAAAATGTCTTGGCTATTCTTGAGCTTGCCTTTTTCTTTTCAGAAATGAATTTTAGAACCAGCAAGACACTTCATGTCCCTTAAACTTTCGTTTCCTCATCTTTAAAAATGGGGCTTCTTTTTGTGTATGCATTACAGTGCCTAGCAAGTAGTTTTAAGTAGTTATGAAGTTCTCAGAAAAGTCATCCAGAATGTATACAAAACCTAAACTTCCTTGTGTTGCTTGCTGTTTGATTTCGGCATCAAGTGATTTGCTTAAACTTTTCTCTCTAGTGAAACCATCTTTAGTCTATCTTATAACACACAGTTTAGGTTGCTGCTTAGTTCTATGGAAATGTGTGTATGATGGACAGTGATGGACTCAAAAGAAGATAATGATGCCCCTGAGTGGTGATATGTCTATTCTGCCATACTATCCTGATTCCTAGGATTGCATCATAGCCTCTCTCCTTACAAGCTTTTCAAATTGAATTCTGCTTTTTGACAAGGTCTCTCATAGTCGAGGAGAATAGAGGCCAACTTCAATTGTATGGCATGGAAGGTTTTTCTTAAGCCATCTCAAACTTAATTGTGTTAATCATTAAAGTAAGTGATCTTTGTTTTATTGCTATTGACACAGTTTTTTAAAGCTCTGCTAAAGAGGTTTTTTTTGTAAGCACTATTAGCAGCTTCTTGCTAAGTTTAATATAAATTCCTCTCAGAGTGATTAAGTACATATTTTTGTCACGTTTTGCCTTCTGTTGATGATGTATAGTTTATTGTCCTCATGAAGTAAGACTATGGGGGTCATAGAAATATTGAAAATAACCAAAATGTTTAGGAGTAAAACATAATTATGGTTATAATAAATCACATCTATCTATAATAAATCACATCTATGTTATCTATCATTTGCTAAGTATGAAAAAGGTCAGGCAATATAAATATTAGCTCCTTCCATTAAAAAATATATATACACATATGTATTTGAATTCACCTTCTTTCTTAGATGAAGCAGTAGCATACAGTACACATTCTTCCCATCTTGCTCTTTTTACTTGCTATGTACTGGAGATCATGCCATATTAGTATACAGAGATACTCCTTATTCCCTGTCATAGTTTCATACTACTGTCCTGTGTATATATTCTTAAACAATATTCTTTTTTTTTTTTTTTTGAGACGGAGTCTCGCTCTGTCACCCAGGCTGAAGTGCAGTGGTACAATCTCAGCTCACTGCAACCTCTGCCTCCCAGGTTCAAGTGATTCTCCTGCCTCAGCCTCCCAAGTAGCTGGGATCACCGGCACATGCCACCACGCCCAGCTAATTTTTGTATTTTTAGTAGAGATGGGGTTTCACCATGTTGGCCAGGCTGGTCTCAAACTCCTGACCTCAAGTGATCCACCCACCTGAGCCTCCCAAAGTGCTGGGATTACAGGCGTGAGCCACCACGCCCAGCCTACAAAATATTCTCAGGTTAATATATTCATACTGTTCTATTGTGAATATAGTTTATTCAACCTGTCTTTATTGTTGGCTATTTGGGATGTTTTCAGCCTTTTGCTGTTTGTTATACACAGTGTTACAGGTAAATAGACTTGTGCATGCAGCTTCTCATGTGTTTGCTAGTATATTTGAGTTGGATTCCCTGAAAATAGATTGGCTGGATCAAAGGGTAAATGCATAAATTACTTTGCTAAATATTGCCAAATTCCCCTTCATAGAGCTCATAGTCTTTTCCATCCTCACAACCAGTAGATTGTTTCCCTACAGCCTTGCCAACATGGTATGTCAGTAGTCTTGAATTTTTGCCATTCTGATAGGTAGGCAGTGATACTTCAGTGTAATTTTATATTGCATTTATTTTGTTGTAAGCAAGGTTGAGCATGTTTTTATATGGGTAAGAGGCAGGTGCATTTTTTTTCCCTATAGAGTTCTTGGCTTTTTTCCTTCTCCATTTTAAAAAGCTCTCTTTAGGTAGGGATATTAACCTTTTAAGATTATTCATTAACCTGGGAAAATGTCCACAATTTGAATGCAAACAGCAAAATACTAAATCGTGTATTCAGTATGAGTTCAACTAATAAAAGAAAGAGAAGTGTGTCTGTATGTATGCAGGATAGATGCTCTATAACCTAAGTATTACCAGTAGTTATCATTGGGAGTGTGATTATACTTGCTGTCTATGTCCTCTTTATTCTTTAATAGAGTTTCAAGATTTCTTATAATAGGCTATAATAAACCAGGAAAAAGGTTAAGAAATTAATTAGATATTGGCAAAAAGATGTATATTGAGCGATTACTAAGATATTGATTGATGTATTTAAAACTTTATATTAATTCACAGTATTGATTTGCTCACTCAACAGTTATATATTGAGTGCTTACCATGCCAAGTGATGTGCTAGGTACTGAAGAACCAGCAGTGAACAAAACAGATACAGTAGCTTCCCCCCGTGAGCTTATTGTCTGATAAAGGAAAAAGACAATACATAGTTTTAAAATGTTCACACATCTCCATCTTGTTTATTATTTGTACTGACTTTTGGATGAAATTTTCTTTGCTCTGAGACATAATATATAACTCTGTGTGTGTGTTTTCAACCAAGTCAATAGGAAAAAAGTGCATATATCCCCTTTGCAAAACCAACCAAATTTCCTTGTTTGGGAAGTTGTCTGCAGTGTTATTGAGAAATTCTAGGAACCGTTGAGCAGTATAGGGAGGTTGGATAAACAGGAAGAAGAGATATCCTGAAACAGAAAGGGGAAAGCTGGACCAGATATTATGATGTGGGCCCCTCTTTGCCTGGCTAACTCCTGTCTGTTCTTCAGAGGTCAGCTCAAATGTCACCTCTCCTGAGAAACTGCTTCTGCCTCCTACAGCCCAGGTTAGGATTTTCTCCTGGATGTACCCAACATCTTGTGCTTGTTCCCATCATAGCATCACAGCGTTACAGTGTATTGTAGTTACCTCTTTACTAGTATGTCTCAAGCTGTAAGCTCCTTGAAGGCAGGGATTTTCTCTTACCTTTCACTCCATTCATTGTGTGTAGCACAGTCTCTGACTATAGTGGACATTGTAAAGGTGATGAATCTCCTCTTTAACAGAAGCAGAGAGGTATAGATATTGAGTAAAATAAACATTACATTTGCTTAAGTGATGCGGGCCCTGGTTGTACTCCTGCAGATAGTGAGTGTGGACTTTAGGATTTGACTCTTAGAGCCCATTCTCAGCCAGTGGACCCTAAATATAGCAGCCAGCCTAAATATAGCAGCCAATGCAAGATGGATTTGGCCAGGTTTGGGGAGCTGGCTTTATTAGCTCTCCAGTCTTCTAGTGTTGGCTGCCACCTGACCTCATGAGAGAGGCTACCAAGTGGAATCCAGGTGCTTTGTTCCCTCTGAGTTATCCCTTGAATTCTAAGAAATTCTTGTGCACATTTATGTTGAATACAGAGTTCACCCTCTGGACATCCCTGTTGTGTGAGCCTGCTTGGCACTGGTGCACAGTGGTGCTCAATCCAGGGCAGTGTATGTATGGTCAGTGACTGGTCAGCCCCTTCTCATCACCATCACTTTTTGTCTTACTCTTCCTAATGCCCTCTCCCCACTCTAATCCCACTCTATTTCTTTGGTTTTACCTTTCCTCTTTCCCCCTTTTTTCCTTAGTATATAATCTGCTGCTCTAGACCAGCCAGTAATATAATGGGCCTTCCTTAGCTCCTCAGAACAACTGAATTTTGCTTTGGACTTTTGCCTTAGGCTGTTGAATCTGGCTAGTGAAGTTAGTATTAGGGTGACCAACCATTCCATTTTGCCTGGGACTGCCTCAGTTTTAGCACTGAAAGAGCCCTGTGTCCTGGGAAACTCCTCAGTCCTGGATGGTTTGTTACTTTAGTTAGGGCTGACCTAGGAAACTGCTGTGTCACAAGTGACTTGGATAATTCTGAAGTTTTGTTTTCTAATACTTCCTTGAATTCAGCATGTACTTTTTTTTCATCAGAGACTATAATATCAGATGATGTTATGACACAGAAAATGAATAATCTCTGTTCTTGCTTAATCTTTAGCCAAAAGCGTTTGAACAATACTTGAATCTGGAAGATGGCAGACTGCTGACTCATCTGAGGATGTGTTCCGCGGCGCCCAAACTTCCTTATGATCTCTGGTTCAAGAGGTGCTTTGCGGGATGTTTGCCTGAATCCAGTTTACAGAGGCAAGTAGGTCTTTCGAAGACATATTGAAGGCTTGGCGTTAGAGCAGAGTTCTGGCCTTTCATGTGGTCATCCCTCAGATTATAAATTTGCTTTAGAACAATACAGTAATTTGAAGCTCAGTCCTCCAGCAGCTACCGTAACAGCACATGATTCTGCTTATTCTTGAATATACAATTAGAAAAATTAAGGGCCCTCAGTGCGTTAGATGCTGTGAAGCAGTCACACCTCAAATGGTCTCCATGAGTTTATATAAGCGTCAGCCCCTTTTTTCCAGAAATGTGACAAATCTTCCTCCAGTAGAAATCTTAGTGTTAGTTTCATCATGATATCTTTAAAGAAGCTGAAAGCAGTCAAAGATTTGACTAAGTTCTTCCAGTCAGTTTCAGACATGTCTGGGTATTTCGGAGTCCAGGTGCCACCCATTAAGACTTTGTGATGTAGTAGAACAGTAACTCTTAAAATAAGTTATGGCACTGAACAGTGCAATACACAGAGAACATTATAAGATAATATGTAACTAAGTGTATGAAGTAGAATACCAACTTTTAGGAGTTACAGGAATGATCAGAATTATTATTTTAGAGTGGTTATAGATCAGTAACTGGCTCCTTACGCCCTTGGAGAAGTTTAAGGAGTCTGTCCCCAGAATCACTGGCAATGAAATTGAATTTATCCCATTTCATATACATCTTTTGTTGTCCCTTAGTAGGCTATAATTATATTAGCATTATGGCATATTAGCAGAATATAAACCATTAGTTTAGGATTTTCTTTTTCTTCCTCAGAAATGTCAGGTTCACAACATGAGGGAATATGATTTTGGTAGATTCCTAGTGGAGCAGTAATTTTTAGTAAACTTTCCTTTCTCCTTCTAGTGCTGATTGTATCTAGAATAGATTTCAAATGGCTTCTGTATTTTGTTGTTGTTTTGGTGATTATTTCATAAAAGTTGTTCTTTGAAGCTTTTACATAAAATTGGAGCAATTTGATTTTATTTTGTAATTTGAGATGTCTAGGCTAAACATAATTCTGAAACTCATATAATTTGATTATATCTCCTTATTTTTGTAGGGTTTGGGATAAAGTTGTGAGTGGATCCTGTAAGATCCTAGTTTTTGTAGCTGTCGAAATTTTATTAACCTTTAAAATAAAAGTTATGGCACTGAACAGTGCAGAGAAGATAACAAAGTTTCTGGAAAATGTAAGTGTGCTTTGATTTGATTTTGAATCTGGAAATGAAGTTACCTTAGCAAGTCAGATTTTCCTGTTACATTAGATTATTTCAGAGAAATAATTACATGATTTTAGAGAAATAATACCTTAGAATGTTTCAGAGAATAATTATAATAATGATTATTTTAGGGAAATTATTTAAGAGAAATAATAATTTGATTTGATTTTGAATCTAGAAATGAAGTCACTTTAGCAAGTGAGATTTTCCTGTTACATTAGATTATTTCAGAGAAATCATACAGTGTATTTTTACATTATAAGAAACACTTTTCCCTGAAAAAGTTTGGCCTAAAGTTGGCCTGAGGGTTAGTTTGCATCCTGTCTTTGGGAAATGATGGTCTGAGACCATCTCGTGAATGTGTCCACTTAGAACCAGAGTCTCATCCTCCATGTGACTATCAGCAGGCATGTCAGGAAAAGGAATAGGTGGGATCTGTCATTTTACAATGAGTAATTTTTGTCAGTTCAAAAGGGGTTCTGTATTTTGGAGGATTTTGTAAGCCATTTCATTTCTGTTACTGTCTCTGGTGTAGTCCCAGTTGGGTTTATTAATATACAGTATTAACCTAGTATATTGCTGAAAAAGGCAATGGTAATGAAATTAACTTTTCCCTCGCTATGTATCTTGGAATACCCTTTACCAGGCAAGAAGTAGGATTAAAGAGACTTATGCCTGAATGATTTTCACAGAATCCAAAATCTATTCATTTTTAAAATAGTATTAACATTTGAAAAATGGCCTGGTAAATTATAATAAAGTACTGAGTCAATATGCGTTGAATAAATGAATAATCATCATTATAACCAGAGGTGGCTAGCAGTGCGAAGCCTGTGCTAAGTATTTTCCATGGGTTACCTCATGTCCTACTGTGAACAGCTCTGTGAAGTCAGGCTATCATTTCCCCCATTTTAGAGATGGGGATCTGAAACCCAGGTAGCTTAGGTAACCTGCCCGGGGGTGCACAGTTAGTGAGCAGTGCAGGATTTGAACCCAGGCAGGCTGACACTGGAGCCCTTTCATGTCCTCAGGTAGCATGTGACGCAAGTCTTTTATGCTGTCACTTTCTGAAAAACAGTGCAAACTCCCATGGAAGTGGATTTCATGCCACAGCGAATGAGGGAAGACACTGAAGTTGTCAACACTGAAATTTCACAAAGACTGATTTGCTTGCCCACAGATTCCCCAGGACAGCTCAGACGCGATCGTGAGCAAGGCCATTGACTTGTGGCACAAACACTGTGGGACCCCGGTCCATTCAAGCTGAACGCACCCGCTGGTTGTGGACCGTCTGCCAGGCACCACAGTGAGCATTGTGTTCTTGGCATGTGATCTGGGAAACTGATTGAATAATACACTTTTCTTGCTTTGGTGCTCAAAGTGGTTTTTTTCCCCCAATAAAATTATTTAATTGAAATGCCTGGTGTTGCTGTGTTGGCGAGCAGCATCTTGCAGTTACATAGAAATGTAAAGTTCATCTCTGAATAGCATTTCAAAAGGGTTGTTAGAAAATAGCTCCCTGATTTTAAAGCGGTTTAGTCAGGGTGAGTGGGTGTGTTAACCAGCAGTGCATAACTAAGCCTGCCCTGCCTGTCTCTAATTAGCACCAAGCTAGTTACTTTCAAGGTCTGTTTCTAGAATAAGAGTGACTTCCTTTTGTTGACACCTCAGATTTGGCTTTTGTTGATGCAATACGTGTTTAAATCCAAGCCAACTGCCTTCTGAGGCTTCATCTTGCTAAACAGGCTTTAAACAATTCCTTACTCTTTTTTCTCTTTGGGCCAGTTGGAATGAAACCATTATTGAACAAAATGTGTTTGAATTGCTCCTAGGAGCAAGTACTTGTTGGATATTTTGCTGCACTCACATTTTTCTTGATGGGGTGTTAAATGTGGGATGTTAGGGTGCACTGTGCCACGCACTAAAGCAGTGAGAGAAATGGCCGGTGAAGGTGAACAGCTCATCACCCCTGGGCCACCTTGTGCCACGTAAATGGCATGGCCACTCTTCACTGGATAGTTCCCGGCTTTGGGAGTAGTGAGTGAAAGGGGACCCTTTGTTTCACACCGGTTTAGCCTTCAGACCTGCAAGAGCCTGAGTGGTGAGTTGGATTTTCCACCCACCCCCTAAAAGACGAGGGCAGCTATGAACTTATAGAGGTACAATTCTGAGAATTCAGGCCCTCCTTAGTGTGTGAAATATCTGTTGAAAAAAAGTTCAGAGAAAGTGTGAGCTGTTGAAATCTGCTGCTTCTGAATACTAACATATCCAAGAGTATTTAATTTTTTAAAATAAAAATGCACTCCAAAGAAAAACCTTTTAAAGCAAAATTGCTGCCTAGAGTTAAAATTTTAATAAAAAATGACTTATTGCCAACCATTTATGCCGGAGCCAGGCAGGAGCGCTGGTACTCTTAGGGAGCAGGAAGGCTTAGGGGCTGAAGTTCCTCTGACTTCGCTGCTTTGGCTGGAGGCCAGCTGATCTGAAACGAAAGACTCTTACTGTACTGCTGAGAGATCTAAAAATAAATATTCTGCAAGTATATTCTGTCAAACCCAGTTTGGTAAAACCTTTCTGGCTGTAGGGTGTGGGGCGGCGATTTTTTCTTGAAGTTAGTCAATCTGAGAGTTTTTATTAAAACACTGATTGGCGGAATGATTTTTTTAAGGCCCATCCTGAGAAAGTGGTGGATGGAGAGGATGAGCATCCAGTTTCGCTTCATAGCAGAATTTCACTTTGCTGAGAGCTGAGTGTTTTGAAAATGTTTGTGCCTGCTGTCTTGGGTGAGGAGCGCAGTTCCTGATAAAAATACATCCATATGCCTTTTCTTCAAAACATTTTGTCAGGATACTGCAGAATTTTTCCTTCATATATTACAACCCACGGTTCCTGTCACAGACTATTGCGGCTAAAATGTGAGATTCTTCCTCGCCCTTGGAAAGCTGGAATTTAACATGATCAAATTTAGTTTCTGCTCTTTCCCGTCTAGAGATTTGCCTTAAACACAGATGAGAGAAGATCTCAGTCCTCTTGGCCAGGAGAAAGGAAGGCCGAGGAAGGTTGGAGAGTGTGTGTGTGTTGGGGGTGTGGCTTTGGCCTGCTGACAAATCGAATGGATGGATTGCGTCGAGGTATAATTGTGTAGAGGATTGTGTGTACACAGGCTTGTGTGTCAAGGCTGTTTCAGGAAATGAGGTCAGGGTTCATGAGAATGAAGCACTTTCTTTGTTAATGGAAAGTTCGCCTGAAAATTATGAGGCAACACTGAAATCATATGATGCGCTGAAGGAGCTCCGAGGACCTTCTTGCACTGTAGCTCTGGGTATGACAGGCACTTGCCCTGTCTTGAATTGCATAAGTTTCCTGTCATGTGGTTATCACGTCCCTATGGTGACTCAAGGTTTTGGTGTTTTCTGTCTGAAAATGAAGAACCTGGAGGGAAGCCAGTGGGGATGAGGAGGGTAAGCAAAGAGCTTAGATGCCCAGGACCAGATCCTAAAATGAGTCACTGGCTCACATGGCCCAAGTGACAGCGCCTGCTCGAGCTCTGTGACCGTAAGCAGCAGAGTGACATCCCAAGTTCTCCAGCCAAGGCAGCCTTTGGGGAGCCTGGTGAGGGGTGTGGGGTGTGGACAGTGAATCTGCCCGGGTCACATAAGGTCAGCAGCCTTTGTCTTTAGCTGGGTGTTTTGGGTCTAGAAGGGCCAGAAGGTGCTTTCCTCTGCCCTTGACAGAGAGGGAAAGGAGTGTGGGAATTTGGGGAGCAGGAGTTGGTGGCATCTCCTCTGTTGGTGAAAACAAAGAGCCGTTTCTCCTTGAGACTGTGTGCCAAATGAAACTGTCCGTGGCTCTTGGCACAAGCCGTGGCTCCTAGATCAGCTGATGTTCCTCCAGAGCTGGCACCAGTTTGAGTAGGAGGGAGGGGTGATGGATGGCGGTGTGGAGAACAGAGGGTGGTAGTGATTTCTGGGGGACCACGGTGGGGGTGCTGGCCTTTCATGGCTTTCCCGACCAGTCGCCCTTTCCACTTTGGTCCCTCTGTCAGCCTTGCCTTGGGGAGGTTAAAAAGTGAGTGGACAGTTTCTAGATGAGGTGATAACTCCCCATAAGGGGAGCCCCCTCCCAGGGGCTGATTTTACTCCAGGACAATGACAAAGGGAGTTGGAGAATGTCATCAGAGAAGGACACACAAGAATCCTAGAAGCTCATCCTAAGCACAACTCCAAATTGAATGTCATAGCAAGCGCTTAAGGTTCACATCTCCAACTCATACCTAATACTGAGGTTTTCCTTTGCAGTTTACCAGGAACTTACATGGCAGGCACTCGGGACTGCCAGAGCTCACGCTAAGCACTGGCTTTATCACAGAGTCACTTCCTGGTCTTCTCCATCATCCTTTCCTAGAGTCTTAATAAGTAGCAAGCTGGTGCTTGCTGGACATTTTAGCATCTCTCTTTTCCCTGCTTCTGCCTGCCCTCTGGACATAATACTAAGAAGATTTGAGAGGGGGGCAGCAAAGAGGAGAAGCTTTGGAAGATTCACTCCTAAACATCAGGTGGCTGCACGCTATACCGCAGTGGGCCTGCATTCCCACCTCCCGTTTCTCCCTCCTCTGACCGATATGTTTGGTTCATTTGTCTTTTTATTTGTTTTCATTCAATCACAAAATATATGTGAATACAGTCTTAATTATGGGCCAGGTACTGAGCTTAATTGCTGAACAAGACATGGTATCTGCCCTCTCGGAGTGTACAAGCATGCAGGGAAGACATATTTAACAGATAGATGTTTTGTTCCAGACATCTTTAGTAGAAACTCTCAACTCCTGTGCTGCCACACCAGGGAGAAGGTGGACTGAGTCTGTCCAGAAGCTCCAGAGGAAGGGTAGAATTGCTGTGAGATGTGTGATTCTGTGTCCCCTTCACTTAGTAATGGAAGAGGTGACAGGAAGAGCCTTGGACCGGGCAGGGGGCATGAGCATCTGCCCCACTCACTAGTTTTGCAAACCAAGCCAATCACTCAGTCTGTGTCTTGGTTTCCCCATCATCAAACAGTGATTCTGTGACATCCCTCCCTCCCCAGCGTGCTTGTGAGCATCACATGAGTTGGCTGTGAAAGCACTTTTAGAAGCATGGAACTCTGGATATTTAATATTTTCAAGAGCATCATTTGCAAGAGTGTGGCTAGGCACTGTCTCTGTTTGAATCTACCGTATGCTTGGAGGCCTAACTCAGCTCTGCCTTCTCTGAAAATTTGTTAACTGCCAAGCTCAAAGTGCATTTTCCTAACTCTGAGCTTCTGTAACATTTCAGGGACCACTCATTTAGCAATAATTGTTTGGAAGTCTCTTGTTCGGTTGTCTTGAACTTTTATTAAGTGTTCCATGTGGTTTCCCTCTAAGATGCAAGATTCTTGAAGCCAGGGGCTGCCTTTAGCACACCCGAGGCACTGGCAGATTCAGTGTCTGGCGAGGGCCCTCTGTGTGGTTCATAGATGGTGCCTTCCTGCTGTGTCCTGGTGGAAGGAATGAACTCTGCTCTTTCAGCCCGTTACAAGCGTCCTAATCCCATGCATGAGGAACCACCCCAAGACCTCACCACCTTCCAAAGGCCCCACCTCCAAATACCATCACCCTGGGGGCTAGGATTTCAGCACACACATTTTAGGGGAAGACAAACATTGAGACTAATACATTGGTTTAGAATGATCTGTTTACGTCCCAGATTTATGTGACCTCTTTGAGGTTAGTGGTAATGACTTATTCTTTTTTTCGTTCCCCCAGTGTCAAGCACATCTCCTAGCCCACGTGGGCTCTTCATGAATATTTGTTGAATATGGGAAGGCCTGGTTCAGCATTAAGACGCCTCCATTGACAAGTAATAGAGTTGTTCTGAAGCACGCTTGCTTAAAGGAGATTTTATTATAGGATGCAGGGGTGAGGCTGAGAACCTAAAGAGGGAGGGCTTGGAGTCTGGGATGGGACTAAAGAGACCCTGGACCCTCTCGTCCTCTTATCTATGATCCACACAGTGTGTGGGCTCTGTCTAGAGTCTGTGTCTCTGCAGTCTGGATCACTCTGGTAGAAGATGCCCCACCCTAAGACGCTAAATGTATACATTACAGGTCCAGCCTCTGGAGACAGAGTTTCGTGACGCAATTCCTAAATCCATGGGAAAGAGGCTGTGGTCTGGCCTGGGCTTGGGGCTGCCTGTGGGCCAATCATGTAGAGCCTAGTGGGTGGAGGCATCCCACAGCAGACGCAGGGCCACCAGGAGCCTCCCTTGTGTCTACTGCAGTGCAGGGAGTGGTGAGCAAGGGGCCTGGTGGACAGGTCCACTGTGAACTGGGAAGAGACTCTCAAAGACTCTCCGCTCCACTTAGATCTGTTGACCAGATAAATGCCCTGCAGAAGGGCCAGGGGGTAACAAGAAGCCTTCCACCTCGACTAAGTCTCAGTGACTTTTCCTGCACCACTTCTTTCTGGTTTCTGCCAGCCAGGCAGGTGGGCAGCCAGCCCTTTCCGACGAGGGTGGGCAGAGGGGTAATATCACACCAGCAGCCTTGGTGAACTGACTCACATGGCCAGGTGCTCCCTTTGCGAACTTTCATACCAAGTCGAATTCAGTCCGAAAGTCTACAGAAAGTCGACTTTGCCCAGCTCCTTCCCCTCCACCTGGGTCAACTGGGGGGCTTCGCTGGCAGCAGCTGTGTTTATTTGTCTCTGATTGCTCAGGAGGGTGTATAGTTTCCCTGCAGGGTGTCCAACATCTGGGTGTCCAGACCAAGTTGGGCTGTGGCCAGGCTGGGTGGCAGTTGAGTGAACCTAAATAAAGCCAGTTAGGGGAGGCAGCTGCTAAGGCTGACTGATTTTCCGATCATACGGAAGGCACGTCCGGACCCGAGGGACGTCAGAGCTGGAGGGGAGCTTGCAGATCACTCCATACACAGATAAGAAAAGTGAGGTTCCAGGTGGTCTAGTGAGTTATTTATACAAGGTCCCAGTAGCTGAGCAAGCTCTGGAACCCAGTCATCCCCGCTGCCTGTCCAGAGTGTATTTCACCAAGCTGCTCCCTCATTCGGAAACACTGACCCATCTTTCTCTGAGCCTTAAAATCTCTCCATCTGGGCAAAACATTCGAGAGAGGCAGCATCTGCTTGGACCTATTGCTGGCTGGCTGGCTGGGTAACTCAGCACCATGTCCTTATTTGTACCCCAGGGGAGGGGATGAGAGTACGAGCTCCCACTTCACAGAGTGGTTAGAAGGATGAGCTACAGAAACAGACGTGAAATCCTTAGACCAGTGTCTGGCACAGAAGTTGGTAAATGTTAGGTATTATAGTTCTACAAGTGTTTTAATGTGCATTCTCCTCAGAGAGTGGCGCTGTGATGCAGAGTCTCACCAAAGACTAAGAGTCCCAGAGCACACTGCTTCCTGAGAAGAGGTTTTTAGGAGAGTGGAGGCCCATTGCAGACTCTTTAGGGCATTGCGTTGGAACAGGGCTTCTTAAACTTGAATGTGCCTTGGGAGCCCCTGGGGTCTTGGTGAACTGCAGATTCTGTCTGTAGGTCTGGGGTGGGTCTGGCTTTCTGCATTTCTAACAAGTTCCGTGATGATGCTGATGCTGCTTGTCCAGGGGGACCACAGTTTGAGTAGCAAGGGCCCAGGGAATGTAGATTTCACCTAATGATGACAGGTTTAATGCTGATTGCAAAAGAAAGAAATATGCCACTTGCCTGTGCCTTTTTCTCATTTTTAAGCTAGTCTGACCTCGTTTCTAAGCTATTGCTAAAGTTTATAAATCACTGGAATAGTTTATCAAACCTGGAATAAAATCTTGATACTGAAATGTGAATGTTTTCCACAAATTGTTCCCTTTCCATGCTAGGAAGTGGTGTCACTCTAACCGTATTACAAATCAGCTCATTACCAAGGACAGCTCTGTGGCAGCTCACCAACTACCAACTACCTTATAGTTGCCTACTCATTCTTCATCCTCTCTCTTCCTTACTAACGACACCCCAATTTTATTTGAGGCAGGAGTGTGTTAACATACCTTATTCCCCAGGCCCTCTTGCTGAAAGGAATGGCCAATAAGATGGAAGGTAAAGTCATTAGGTAGGACTTCCAGAAAAGGTTTTTAAAGAGAATTTATTCAGCTGGCAGGTAAATTTCCTCTTCCTGGTATTTCCTCTTACTTTCTGCGTGGAACACATCCATAATGGCAGGAGCTTCAGCAGCTATCTTGGAATGTGGGGCAACATCAAGAATGGAAGCCACATGATAAGGATGGTGGGGCCGAAAAATAGAGCTACACATTGATGGTGTCACTACCACACACGCTCTTTTCTGCTTCATTCCAGACTGCCTTTACATTTTAAAAAATCCCGATTTGTTTCAGCCACTATTATTTGAGTTTTTGGTTATGTGAAGACTGTTAGACCTAATGCTAACTGACACCACCAGAGCAGATGCAGATTAGCAAGGCAGATATGGGTTTAAATCTATGTCTAAAACCATCATCTTTCTGACTGCCCTTTCTGGGATTCACTAGTGGTATAGGGTCAAGGGAACTGGATTGAGAGTTCTTTGCTCATCTCTGCTACTAACTGTGTGACTGTTTTTTCTTGGCCTCAGCCCCTTCATCTGTAAAACGGGGATGAGAGATGAAAGTGACCAGCACAGTGCTGGGGTGCAAAACTCATTCCGCTGGTGCTGGGGGCAGGGGTGTCTCAGGATGATGGTGTGGGGATGTGATGCAGTGGCCAGTGCTAATGCAGCAAGGAGGGGCCCCGTGGGGTGAAGCTTGGGTGCTGGCAGCAGTGCAGCTTCTAGTCCTTGCTTGCTTTAAAAAAATTCTTTTTGAGATAGGGTCTCACTGTGTCACCCAGGCTGGAGTGCAATGGTGTAATCACAGCTCACTGCAGCCTCGAGCTCCTGGGCTCAGGTGATCCTCCCACCTCAGCTTCCCCGGTAGCTGGTAGCTGGGACTACAGACACATGCCCAGCTAGTTTTTTGCATTTTTTGTAGAGATGGGGTTTCGTCATGTTGCCCAGGCTGGTCTCGAACTCCTGGGTTCAAGAGATTCACCCACCTCGGCCTCCCAAAATGCTGAGATTACAGGCATGAGCCACTGCACCCCACCTTCTAGTGCTTTCTTTAGGGGTGTCCCCCCTTGGTGTGCTGAGGGCAGCAGAGCACCTTCCTCTGTTGTGACCAGAAGGTTTGGACTAAGTGACCCTTTTAGCATGAATGGCCTTTGGTTTTGTTGGGAGGGAGCTGGGGGCAGCACAAGCAGCTTTCCACTGGGCTCAAGAAACCTGCCTTGGCGTCTTCCTCCACCTAGGCATGATGCTGAGGCCGGGGAGGCAGCCCAGGCAGCATCTTGCCTCCCCGCACAGCTTTGCTGCTGAAATCTAAGTGACTCTACCCCGCTACTTGCTCTGAGCCAGCCGAATGTCCGGTCAAAAAAAGAGCATTTGTGCTGTCCTGTTGACTGGGGCCTATAGTAAGATTGAAACCACAGCAGAACTGTGCACACCTCTGCTGTCCAAATCAGAGATGCTTTTTGCTTCTAATATCACTCAACTACTCTCCAAACCTGAAGCTGTCACTCTTTGTCCTTCCCCTCCTCCCCACTCCAATCAGTTACGTTCGGCACCTGCAGGGTTTCCGCTCATGCATAGCTAGCTGATTCCTGGAGGGCAAAAACCATGTCTTTACAGTGAACTAAAAATATCAAGAGACGCACTTACCTCCCCGCACAGAGGGGGGTCACTAGGGAGACCTGAACTAGGATGGCTCAATTGGAGCCTCTCACTGTTTGGCCCAGTGGGTCTCCGTTTTTCTGCCCAGCTGCTGGACAGCCTGAAACATGCCTGCCTTTCCTTACTGTGGCCGGTTCCTGGATTTTAAAATTGGGTATGATTGAAATAAGGTCGTCTGGGTGTGCATGTTACACGCAAGTTAAATTTCCCTGTTCGAGTTTTGTCCTACAAAAGGCAGTCAGCCCTGTGTGTTCTTTCTGGTCTTCTTATTTTAAAAAAATAATTGTAACTAAATTTTTGATGGAAAAGGAACATGTGCCAATAGAGGGGAAAGGCAGCCAGGACAAAAGGGTCTACAGTGACCGGTGGCTGTTCTCCGTGTCCCAGCCCCAAGGACCCTTCCTCAGCACCAACTCCTGGAGTCTAACAATGAGCGTGTTATTTCAGGTACTTTTCTAGGAAGAAAGAGGGGATTTGTCCTGCCTGCTTTGGGGCTGTCATCACCAAGTCAGTGAGATGGAATTGAGGAAAACCCAAGGTGGCTCAGCTGCCACAGGGGCTCCTGCCATGATTGCGTGGATGCTGACGAGCGGGCTGGGGGCATGGGGGAGTGGGGCTCGCCCAGGTGACAGCTCATATTCTAATGGTGGCTTGGAAAATGTCCCCACCACCCCAGCGACAACGCAGCACACAGTCTGAACAAAGCCAGCCTCTTGCCAGATGGCATTTTTGCTATTTTAACCCCAGGGCCTTGCAGAGCCGGTACGCTGGGGCTTCAGTGAGGCGGCCAAGGCCTTCCAGGAGGCTCAGGTGTTGAGCCATAAAGCCCCAGATGTGCTTCATGCATGACGGCCTCGGTCGCACAGTGGCAGGCCTGCCACACTGCGGGGACTGGCCACAGGGTTGCTGCGTGAGACCAAAGCCTTTACTCTGATGCCGTCCCTGGTCAGGACTGTCTGAGATAAGAAGTTCAATCCATGTGTGAAGTGTTTTTTTACCTGTGTAGCTGAAGACTGGCTTGTCCTCTTCTGGGTGGGGGCTCTGAATGGACCCCAGGACCATGGACCCCAGGGACCCCCCTGCCACACTGGACAAGGTGTCAGTGACCACTCCAGGTTGGTGATTGGTGATTAAGGAACAGACAGCATTTTCCTCCCTCCCTCTACCATTTCTCTTTCTCGTTTTTGTTTTGTTTTGTTTTGTTGATTAAAGGTAGAACAGCAATGGTATCTCCACATAGGAAACACCAAGCCTTTGTGACCACATGAGCCGCAGCGTCTTCATCATGGATGAGGAGGGGAACCAGTTCTGGAATTCTGGCTCAGGGTAGATGCATCTTAACGGAAGAAGAATTAGTCAATTCTGTTTCCGTGGTTTACTCTTCCTGTCTCCTGCAGATGAATTCATTAGTTTAATTAATGAGAGCCCTTTGCCTTCCTCTGCAGTGTTGCCCATGGAAATAGTGGATGATCATGGCTCCCTATTATGAAATGTGGAGAGCATTATTTGATTAGGAGCAGAACCCTTTTCCCCCCCAGAAAATAGCCTCTAGGTAAGGGACTGGACGCTCACACACGATGAAGTGTCTGGTGTTCTTCTCTCTCATTAGGTAGCATGCCCTTCTCTTCCTGCCTTTGCAACAGCTCTAGGTAGGACCCACACTGTACAAGTGCCTCATTCGTGACTTCTGCTTCCCTTGCAGGAAGGCATAAATGTTGGCTGACTGTCAAATGCTTGTGGGAGGTCCCCACGGAGTGGAGAAGCGGGAGACTCAGCTTAATCACAGACAAAGTTGTGCATGAGAGGTGAGAGGGAGGAGCTGGAAGCCGGGGCTTGGAGGCAGTCCATGATCTTTCCGTCTGTGATCCTCAGTGTCAGAAAACTATGTAATCACTCAAGACAGGCAAATGGGATAACTGGATGGATGCTGAGGAAGTGTGAACTCAAGAAGGTAGAGGGAAAGCCACGACACGTCAGCGTAGCAGGGAGGTTAAGGGCATTGCCTTAGAGTCAGGCAGACCTGGGTTTGGAAGCCCCTCCGCCACTTACCATCTGTGTGACTTTGCCCACGTTGTTGTTTGGGGACCTGAGTTTCCTCATCGGTGACCAAGGTGTCGTAAGGGTTAAAGAAAATGGTGCATGAAGATGGCCTAACAGAGTGCCTGGGGTACGGTAAGTGTTTACTGTGTGGGAGCTGTTAGTGGTGCTGTTGGTAGGGATCAAGTGACCAGGTAGCCAGAGTTAGAAATCAGGGCCGCCACCTGCCAGGTGTCAGAAGAGACAGCTATTTGTTCATACTTTTTTTTTCTTTGTATGCTTCTCATTGAGTTCCAAGGTTGCCTACATGAGACCTCTCTTGGACTCCTTTCAGGAAAGCTTAGTTGCTCAGTGCCCGAGGGCCCTTGTTAAACCCTGATTGTCCCTGAGGTGGTCACCACAACATGGCCACATCAATAGCATCCCTCACAGGACTCCCAGGTCACACGCACCAGAAGGGTCTGCTTGGGAAGCCTGAGCAGAGTGATGTAGCAGGGGACAGGAGGTGAGGCTGGCGGAAGTGAGCAAGGGCCACACTGTCACTACGGATGCCACACTGCAGAGTGGGGCTTGATGGGTAAGACAGTGGAGGCAGGTACCAAGAGGGAGGGTGGGGTGAGCCCATCTGAGTTGGGAGACATGACTCTCATGGCAGGACTGGATGCTGAGGCCACAGGCAGAAAGATCATGGCTGCCGTCATCCAGGTGGGAGAACCTTTTTCAAAAATTAGTATATCTGTATTTTATTTTATTATTTATTTATGTTTCAATAGCTTTTGGGGTACAAGTGGCTTTTTATTATTTTTTGGAGACAGAGTTTTGCTCTTGTTGCCCAGGCTGGAGTGCAGTGGCACGATCTCAGCTCACTGTAACCTCTCCCTCCCGGGTTCAAGTGATTCTCCTGCCTCAGCCTCCCAAGTAGCTGGGATTACAGGCACCCACCACCACACACAGCTAATTTTTTCTATTTTTAGTAGAGATGGGGTTTCACCATGTTGGCGAAGCTGGTCTCGAACTCCTGACCTCAGGTGAGCCACCTGCCTCGGCCTCCCAAAGTGTTGGGATTACAGGTGTGAGCCACTGTGTCCGGCCTCACAAGTGACTTTTTGTTACATGGATAAAATATATAGTAGTTTATTCTGAGATGTTAGTGCTCCCATCACCTGAGTAGTGTACATTGTACCTAATGTGTAATTTTTCATTCCTACCCTCCTCCCACCCTCCCCCTTCTGAGTCCCCAAAGTCCATTATCTCATTTTTAGGCCTTTGTGTCCTCATAGCTTAGCTCCCACTTATGAGTGAGAACATACGATACTTGGTTTTCCACTCCTGTGTTGCTTCACTTAGAATAATGGCCTCTAGCTCCATCCAAGTTGCAGGACACTCTACGATACCCTGCTGCTTTTTAGAAAACCTGGGCCAGGGGCTTGGGACAGATCTGAGCTACAGCCATAGACAGGGAGTCATCTGAAGCCACACCCGTGGAGGAGATCACTTAGGACCTGTGGAGAGTGAGCCAGGGAGCGTTTGCCGAGTCAAACAAGTCAAACGTGTCCTTTGGCTTAACAGGTTAAGTAGCTACATCCGCAGAGCACCCTCAAACCTGCGATGCTGTAGGGGACAAAGCATTGTGTCGTAGACATCACCCATCAAGACCCAAGAGCACTCCAGGGTGTTTTGCCCAAGGGCAGGGAGAGGCAGAAGGATGTCAGATAACCTGATTGATGGCGGCTTCGGGATGAGGCCCCATGAAGGCACTTGGGAGGGTAGGTCCCAGGGCCACCCAGCTCTCCAGGAGGGCAGTGCATGGCAGGGAGGGACTGCAGGGACAGATGGCAGATTTGTGGTGACCTGAAGGAGAGGAATCTAAACTGTTAGAGACAGGCCTCAGCCGGACTTGCTTTAAAGTTAACTCTTTCTTAATAACTAAGTTGAATGTTTTAAAAATGCCAGTATTCCCAAATCATGGACAAGTTGATGCTCCAAAGAATATTAGGAACATCTAATTCACTGTCTCTGTTTTCCATATGAGGAAATTGAGGCCCAGATAAACAGATGCGATAGACACACCAGGCTGCCCCTTCCTGCAGAGAGAGAATGTGTAGCCACAACCTTTGTTTCCTTGGGAAAGGGCTCCCTCCGTAGCAGGATTATGGCCAGTTTCCTTCCCTCTTGCCAGGCAGTCTGCTAGGAGTTTTATCAAAGCTGTTTCTTTCTTGTCCTTTCACTGCCCTAAAACTTGCAATCAAGTTCTCAGATTAATTTATCAAAAGTCAGAGAGCGGCCGGGCGCAGTGGCTCACGCCTGTAATCCTAGCACATTGGGAGACCGAGGCGGGCAGATCACGAGGTCAGGAGTTCAAGACCTGCCTGACCAACATGGTGAAACCCTCTCTCTACTAAAATACAAAAGTTAGCCAGGCGTGGTGGTGGGCACCTGTAATCTCAGCTGCTCAAGAGGCTGAGGCAGGAGAATCGCTTGAACCCAGGAGGCAGAGGTTGCAGTGAGCTGAGATCATTCCACGGCACTCCAGCCTAGGAGACAGAGCAAGACTGTGTCTCAAAAAAAAAAAAAAAAAGCTCTGCAAGGACAGAAAGAAAGAGAAACTGATGGATTTTTGAAATATGAAAACCTTTTTGTAAAGTACTTGCCCCTTCTGTCATAGCCACTGCTGCTCCAGGGGCCCCCTGGCTGCACAGGTGAGAGCTCTGGGCACAGATACTCTGATGCAAATACTGCAGGACCTGAACATCCAGGAGGGCTTCACTGCTGCTTCCCAGCAAAGATATGAGCAGTACATGGGGGCACTCAGAGATCTCAGGCAAAGGAGAGGTGGCTCCCTTTGGGGATTCTTCTCCCAGCCTTTGAGACTCAGAAGTGGGATTCCTGGACCAGCAGCATCAGCAGGCCCTGAGAGCTTATTAGAAATGCAGACTCCCAGGCCCTGTTCAGACCTGCTGGCTCAGTACTTGCATGTTAACGAGACCCCCAGGTGATTCCTAGGCAAGGTGGTTTGAGCAGCACGGCACGAGGTTGCCCTTTACCAGAACAGCCTTTCTACGCTGCTGGACGAAGGATATGCTACCCAGCAACGTCCCCCACCTAAAATGCAGCCCCTCTGCTTCCGCTGAAAGCCTTCAAAGACAAGTAGTAACCAGAAGGTTATGCAATGCAGTTCTTTGCTTTATACATCAAATACTCAGGCTTCTCAAGAACGGAGATAGAGGCCAGGCACGGTGGCTCACACCTGTAATCTCAGCATTTTGGGAGGCCGAGGAGGGTGGATCGCCTGAGGCCAGGAGTTTGAGACCAGCCTGGCCAACATGGTGAAACCCTGTTTCTACTAAAAATAAAATGCAAAAAAAAAAAAAAAAAAAATAGCCAGGTGTGGTGGTGCACACCTCTAGTCACAGCTACCCGGGAGGCTGAGGCAGTAGAATCACTTGAACCAGGGAGGCGGAGGTTGCAGTGAGCCAAGATCTCCAGCCTTCCCAGATCGTTAAAAGGACAGTTGACATTTTAGATATTCTTATAAAAATGTTGAGGAAGGCCGGACGCAGTGGCTCACGCCTGTGATCCCAGCACTTTGGGAGGCTGAGGTGGGCGGATAATGAGGTCAAGACCAAGACCATCCTGACAAACATGGTGAAACCCCATCTCTACTAAAAATACAAAAATTAGCCAGGCATGGTGGCGCGTGCCTGTAATACCAGCTACTTGGGAGGCTGAGGCAGGAGAATCTCTTGAACCCAGGAGGCGGAGGTTGCAGTGAGCCAGGATTGCGCCACTGCACTCCAGCCTGGCGACGGAGCAAGACTCAGTCTCAAAAAAAAAAAAAAGTTGAGGAAAAAAATCCTAGTACACAAAAGTCTTCTAGAAAGTTAATGTATGTGCTACAATACTTCCTTCCCCCAATAATACCAGAGGAGACATGCGGTTGTCCCGTATGTCCACTCACTCTCACTATGTATTTTGCAGATGAGCTGACCTCTCCCATTCCTGCAACCTCCCTTTCCCAGTCAAAGCATTTTTGGTGGTTTCTGCTGCTGGTTGATAACAAAACACACAAGAGTCAAGAATTTTTTTTTTTTTTTTTTTACTTTTTTTTGGTTTGTTTTTAAAGAAACTGCATACATCATCAGAGACAAACAATAATTTAAATACCATGCAGTTTCTGTATGTACAAAACCTAGGCCACAGAGATCCAGTTTAATTTGTATTCTCTATTTACATCGTTTTCCTCATACAGCCATCATCTGTTAAATTAGAACCTGGGAGATTAGGGGATTGACGGTCACCACACTCACTCCTATACAAAGACAAACTATGTACAGACACCCAGGAAGCAACTGGAAAATGCAACCGGTCTGGGGATTAACAGACAGATAGGGAGAAAAAGTCATTTAAGGTGACCTTTGCCCACCGGCTGTGCACAGGGAGAGCCTGAAATTCCATTCATCAAAGCAACACACCACGATTTTCATTCGGCAAATAAAAATACATGTTCATAAGCGGGAGAAAAATAAACCCAGAGCTTTTCATCACATGTACCGTCACATTGTTTGGTTTCTCTAATCTGACATAAAGGCTAAAGTTTTAAAAGTTTTACAGTGCTTTGAGGGCCTTTAGAGATGAATATATCAGCCATTTAAAAAAAGCTAGTTGGCTGATGGCGGTCTCTTCTGTCACTGATTGATTGGGGGCGGGGGCAGGGTTGGGCAATGTCTAATCTTTAGAAGGAAGCATTTGATTTGAGACATTTCACATTTTTCCTCTCACGCTAATCCAAATGAAAAAAATGCTCAACTGGGAATTTACACACATAAAATAAACTTTGACTTGCCAGCTACAGCTTTTTCAAAAAAGAGATGCATTTTAAGTCATCTAGCTCACCTTTTTATTTTTTCCCTTAATTAATGTCAAATTGTCATCTTGGAAAGTAACACAAATTGCTGCAGTTGTCATGACATTGTAGTGAAAAAAAAAAAAAAAGAAAATTGAATAGGTCTCTAGAAAGACCTTAAGGTTTTAAGAAAGGAAAGAGACAGCAGAAGGCCCATCCTGCAGGCCACAGAGGTTGCTGAGCCTGTGTAAGAGCCACTTAAAACGGGCTTGAAATAGCCCATCCTGAAGGCGCAGGACCTGTCAATGGCAGGGGAGGTGCACCCCTCAGTCTGAGCAAGTGACTGCTGGAAAGGAGGCCCTGCAGGAAGAGCAGTGGAAATTGTGTTCAATATCTTCCATGCACAAAGTGGACTGCAACATGAGGGCACTTTGGGCGGAAACCCTGGGCTGTCTGCTGGCTGGCTGCAGGGAGATCCGCTTGGGCCTTATATCCCCAGGGAATCTGAAGGGCCAAGAACTAAGGCCAGCAGAGAAGCCATGGGCCTATCATGGGAGGAGTCCGGTCAATGGAATGAATTTCCTTAGGACTCGCTCCTGGCCAGGGAGGACCATCATGCCAGGGCACCGCGTGTGCCAGGAGCCCAGCTGCAGTTAGAGGAAGTTCAGACTCAAAGCCTGGCCGGCAGGCAAGTCCACCTGGAACACGTGTCCGCCCGCCCGCCGTAGAGAAGTTCAACGAAAGAGCCCTACATCTTTCGTCATACCATTTGCACATTCAAACGTCAGTAAGCCTTTCGGGAAGACTGTGTTTACAGCCACACTAAAATCCCGATCACATTTTCCCTGAACAATACCTCTCCCCACGGCAGGAACTATTCAGATTCAAGAGTTAAAAAAAAAAAAAAAAAATAGGATCTAGTGATGGCATCCTCCTTGGGTCGGGCAGAGGCGTGCTGGCTCCAGGTGGCAAGGCAAAGCTGCAGCTGGAGGCACCGCCCAAAGAGCTGCCCTGAACTCTCCCCAGCAGTTGTTTGGCTCCTGGGTTAGTGCCTAGATGGGAGCCGTTCATGCCTGCAAAAAAATGCAATGGCCTCGTTGACGGGTGTGCATCCTAAGAGTAACCTGCTCCCACAGGGTTTGTGGTGGGGAGACGACTGGTTAACTTTTTGGAAAGGCCAAGCTGGCGTCTTTCTAAATGGCATGTGTGGTGGAGAGTTCCACCACCTAGAAAGACTGGAGTAACGATGGAGTCACTCCAGAAGGTGAGAGAGCTCTGCAACTGAGGGCCTGCGAGCTCTGTTATGAAGGAAATCGAAAGCTGCAATGGGCCTCGTTAGGATGCTGTTAGGGTTTAGGAGGGTCCTGGCCTCATCGCACACCCTATCCTGGGTGTCCCAGTCAGAGACACACCCACAGTCACGCTCCCTGGCATCATGAGGGTAGAGGGAGGAGCTCTCTGGATCAACTGGAGCAGGAAGGGGCACTGTGGACAGGTGTGGCTGGTGTTGGCCTGATTCTGGCACATGCCCAACTCTGGGGCTCCTTCACAGAAACTCTTCAGTGCAAAAAAAAAAAAAAAAAAAAAAAAAAAAAAAAAAAAGAGAAGGCCATGGAGTGGTTCCAAGTCCCTCAGTGGCTGGAAAGCCAGTCCTACAGGAGTGGTTTCTGGCCTGCATGCACTGGTCCTATACACAGAAGCTAAGAACTCCCAAGCCATATAATCAGCTTCAAGGCGCACAGAGAAAATAAATGTCAGCCAAGCAGTTTCTGACCCCACAGGATTCAATAGGGTCCTCCCACTCAGACTTATAAACAGCACAGGAGTACCTTAGCAATGGCTGTGTGTGTGCGTGGGTCACTCATGACACTGGACACTCTGGACACAGTTGGGTTGATTATTTGAACTGAGCATATGACATCTTTCCCCTTCTAAACCAGAGCTTCCTGAAAGGCAGCTCAGCTCAGGCAGAGGGAGCAGGATGGGTGCTCAGTGCCAGCCTTCGTAGCCAAGAGGCAGCCAGACTCCCCCAGAAATGGGCCCTTCCCTTTTGTTCATTGTGTGGGTGGTGGCTGAAAGGAGGGAAAAGCCAGGGGCAACTGAGAAGTGTTCACTCCTTCTTGGCATCAACTTCAAAGGGCCCCCAAACCAAATGTCATGTCTGGAGCCAGTACATTTGGCCAAGTGTAGAAGTCCAACCAGATCATTAGCTTTGCACAGTACCCCCAAAACAAACCCACCCCTTCAGCTTTCTTTGGACTCAGATGACAGACACTTGTGAGGAAGAGGTTTGCTGGAGACTTCATGAAGGTAGTGCCTGCTGGGCCTGGCTGGAGAGGACAAGGACCGTTCCACCTGCCAGACAGTCTTCAGTCAGGGCCCTGCTGGTGCCCTTGGCACTGCCGGGGGTTGGGATGCATTTTGGTGTCAGAAGTGGGACCAGCAGCTCGGACCGCCGAGCCATCACTTTTGCGTTTTCACACATAAAATCCTGATTGTGTTTCCTTGATTTTTCTTCTTTTTAAAAAAAAGGCAGTTCAGAAGATTTACATCGTAATGGGGAAGTGAATAAATACCAGCACTTATGGTTCTTATAAATTTATGTTTTGAAGACAGCATAGCACTCAAGAGGAATTCGACTGTTAAGGTCGGTGAAACCTAAGGAAACAAACAATTACATCAAGACCAAGGGGCTGCCAAAGGTGCAGGATTCAACAGTCCAATCTCCCATCTTCAGGGAGGTTCTTGACCGTGAGAGGGAGGTGCGAGCTTCCCACCGTCATCCCCACAGGAGTACCACTGAACACACACCTGGCTTTGAAAGTTTCATCTGGGGCAGCCCTGGTGGCCTCCACCTCCTGCCATCAGCCTGGATCCAGCAGCAAGGTGCAGAACCCAATCTGTGTCTCTGAGTCTCTAGACTAAATACTTGCTATATCCTATTTCTCTAAATGTTCCCCCCAAAAGAAAGTCAGAATTAAATCAATGGCTCTGTTGCTAACTAGCAATGCAACCTTATATAATCCTCTTAATCACTCCATGCCTCGGTTTTCCCAAATATCATCATGATGCTGGACTGTCAGGGAGAATGTCAGGGAATAACAGAAGTGGTCCACTTTGGAAGTCCCGTGTGGATGTGGTATTTTGTTCAGGTTTGGCCTCTGCTGACTGGTTGCAAATTGGCAACAATCTTTTCTCCTTGACCTAAGTTTTCACAAAAACCCACCTTGGGGTCGTTGGTAGTCTGGTGCTTATCAGACCTTTAGTTTAAATGAGTGAAACTCAGACTTTGCAGAAAGTTGGTTTTAGCCCGGGCCATCTGTGTTCCACTTCCTCGTTTCAGTAACCTAAAGTGGAACCGCATGCCTGCCTTCCTACTATCTTCCCTCTCATGGCACCCTCCAACCCACTCATGTCCCACAAGTGGGAGAGCTTTATTTGGAGATAAATATTGCAACTTGAGGGAAAAAAAGGAAAAAAAAAACCCTTAATACTAACCTTGTTAAGTGTCTACTCAATTCATGAACTTCCATCTCAGTGCTTTTGAATTCATTGAGCTCCTTTCGGATGGCAGCCTGGAATCAACAGAAGCCCATCAATGTGCAATGGGAGAGAGACAGAAAAAAACTCCCCTTTCAGTTCATTCCTAACAACATATTTTTCTTCTTCAACAAAGACAAACAAGTTTAAGATGGATTCTTTCATTGGGAGGAAGAAAAATCACCTGAGATGTCCTTTAAAACAAAGATTCCCCTCCTTCCCTAAATCTAAGTTGCAAATGATGACAGGCTATTGCCCAAAGTGTGTTTTTCTTCCTCTTTTCATAGAGCTGTGGCATTGAGGCATCAGTGGTGGTGTACACCTACCCCACACTCCTGGGGGCCCAAGAACACATTCAATGTCAACCTCTCATCTTCCATAAATAAACAAAGCTCAGCACAGGCACAGTGATGCCTCGAGGTGGAGACTTCCAGAAGGCGTGGATCAAATTCTCCAACCAAATTAGGGGGACAGGTGATGGCCAGCTCCCTACCAACAGTTTGTTTTTGCTCTTTTACAACTTCCCTGACTCTTCAGTGATGTATTTCACCATGTGAGATACATTTTGAATAACCTCACATGTTCTGAGATGATCCCGAATCACCCCATCCTTATAATACTGCCACTGAAGACACAGGGCCTGGAATCAGACAGCAAAGAGAGGCCATGAGAGAGCAGGGGAGGAGGAGGGGCTGGTAAAGAAGGCAGCTGGGGCCAGAGACAACCTCACTCCTTCCTCAAGGGTGGAAATTGCAAACGTGTGCCTTCTTGCATAGCTCTGTCTATGGCCGATACTTGCTTTGATGGGAATATCAAGGCCCCAGGAGTTTGAGGAGAGAAAAGTCTTCCTGTAGGATCAGAATGGCCCTCCCCAGGAAAAGAAGGCTGGCTTAGGTTTAAGTGCCTGGGTAGCAGCTTTGGGGGTGGGGGCAGGGGTCACCCCATGCTTCCTGTCTTCTGTCCCCAACAGCCATTGAGAAACTGGATATGTTTTCGGCCTAAGAGCTACTCAGAACTCTATGAGGGTGCAAGTAGAGATGTCTGTGGTTTTCTTGCACACTTGCTAATATCCTTATCCTTGCAAGCATACCGCAGAGAGAGTGTGGACAGGAGAGGACAAGAGTGAAAGCCCCTTCCTCTTCGTATTTAGATGACACACTCCTGGGGAGCTGGGTTTGTCTGTCAGGGGCATGGCAATGCCAGTTCCTGGGTTGCTCCCACAAATTCCCTTGCAGAGAAGATGTGAATGCTGTGTTTACAGAGGAGGGCACAGTCTTCCACACATGGTGTCTGTGGGTTGACCCGCCACAGGCGAGGTCGTCTCTGGAAGTCTATCTGCCTCTTGCTGCTTCCGTCCCAGCCAAGTGCAGCAATGTGCCTGCATACATGTTTCCTGCACCTCCTGGATCCAGGGTTGGTGATAATGTAGCCAGCCTGGGCCATAAATGACTTCCTGCTGTATCATATAAGAAAACCCTGGGTCCCTGAAACGGACAGTGAAGGCAGGACTGTTGAGCAGAAGGCCCCTGACACACTCCATAGTTTCTATCGTTACCTACACATTGGGCAGAATCATTATTCCAGTATATATATATATATATACGTGTATCTATATATATATATATATATATATATATTTTTTTTTTTTTTTTTTTTTTTTTTTGAGATGGAGTTTCACTGTTGTCATCCACGCTGGAATTCAATGGTGTGACCTTGGATCACTGCAACCTCCACCTCCTGGGTTCAAGCAATTCTCCTGCCTCAGCCTCCCGAGCAGCTGGGATTACAGGTGTGTGCCATCACGCCCGGCTAATTTTGTATTTTTAGTAGAGATGGGGTTTCATCATGTTGGTCAGGCTGGTCTTGAACTCCTGACCTCAAGTGATCTACCCGCCTCGGCCTCCCAAAGTGCTGGGATTACAGGCGTGAGCCACTGTGCCTGGCGCACAGACTACATTTTTAAAAAGGCCCTTAACCCTCCAGCTCCTCATGGTGACCAGACTAGAATCAGAGAGGATTACCAAACAGAGGTTCATTCTGATACCTTGTCTGGTGGACAGAGAAAATGATTTCTCATTGGCATCACTGCTTTTCCTAAAAAACAAACTGAACCTCAGATTATTCTTTTTGTTTTCTAAATCGGCGAGGGGCTAGTGCAGTGAGATATGTTTTGCGACGTCTCTTTGATTTATGCCCTATTTCCCTCCTGGGGTTATGCGTCTACTTTGTCTTCTCTTTTGGTTTGGTGAATCCCTCGTTGGATGCCGGCAGCACCATCCCCTATACGGAAGGGCTGTGATGAGCCTGGAGCCTCTTGCCTTCACCTGTCTACACCTATCCAGTGCTATTCTCTTTCTCTGGGCACAGCCTCCCAGGCTGCTGCTCCTCCTCCTGTAAAATGGGCACAGTATTATGTGCCTTGTGTTTTCTCCGATTCAGCAGCCTTTCCGCAGATTATCTGTGGCCCCTGGGGAAAGGTGTTGGGGTCTCAACACTCCATTATGGGGACTGCGGCTGAGGCCTGGCTGCAGGTCTCCCTACACGCTCCCCAGCGGTGAGCCCAGCGAGACCCAGCAGACGGTCCTGCCTCCCACTCTCCAGCACTCCCCTCTGCTTACTTTGTCTGCAGCGGTGAGGCGGGTCCACGGCTTATCTGCCCTGCGGTCATAGTCCTGAGCGTCAGCCACCTCCACGTAGTCACTGAAGCGGATGAGGATCTTTCTTTCCCGAAGCTCTTCCACCGTGGGCCTTTGACTGAGCTGCAGGGAGGGAGAGAGATGGACCCAGTCAGCCAGAAGGGTTGACCATGGCACTTGGTCCTGTCTGTGAACTTGCAGGTGTGGAAAATAAGGTTCAGTGAGGCGATGGATGCATCGCATAGTGAGTGAGGGGCAGGGGCAGGGGGAGGGCCAGGGTGGGGGGACCCAAGTCTCCTGACTCTTGGGAGTGGGACGTTTCTAGGTCCTAAGAGAGAGCTTTGTTATCCCTTACATACCCTCTAGGCCAAGCTCTTTTTTTTTTTAAACTTAAAAAAAATCTTTTATTATGTAAATTTTCAAAACAAGGAAGGAGACTAATGTAATGAATTTGGTGTATTATCACCAGCTTCAACAATAATCAACTCTTGACTACATCCACATGTAGATTGCTTTGAAACAAATCACAGGCATCATATCATTTTATCTGTGTATATTTCAGTATAGAATATATAAAGATTAGGACTTCAAAGCATATTCACAGTACTGTTTTTACACCTATACAAATCGATAGTAAACAGTCTCTATCTTCATAACATTGCTGAGTCCCAGTCATTACTAGAAGCTTGTCTTTCTGTTTGGCTGTGGGCGCCTGTTGTGGATTTCTTCTTATCTGTCCTACTCCCACCAGGTGACAGGGACATTCTACAATGATTCTGTCTTATTTTGGATTTGTGAATCCACATCTGTGTCACATCGAGTGCTTTCTGCAAGGGGGTTTTGCAGTGCATTTTGTGTGGGTTTTAGATGCAAAAAAGCGTATGTGCAAATGGTATGCAAACTCTGGGGTATGCAGGGATGGGAATCTGCTGGCTGAAGAGGTCAGCCCAAACATTGCTGACGGCCCTCTGCAAGAAGTTCAAGGGGAAGGTCAGTCAACAAATGCGGAGTTGAGTAAGTACAGAAAAAGGCCACATTTATGCCAAGGGAGACTCAGGACCAGCCCTTTGGATGGTGCATGATGAAGGACTGCAGGAATGAGGGATGAAGCAAGTAAAAGGAAGATTCGTATGTATTTTGCCATCTCCCGATATTAGCCATGAAGACCCTTCCTCTACTTTAGCAACATAAGGCTGACATTTCTATTATCTCTTCCTGTCACCAGGTTTATTTCTCCTGGAGCAACACAGTTGCTCTCTTTAAGATGCTGTCAAATGATGTTCAATCAATGCTATTTAAAAGCAGTTTTCCCTTTGAGCCCTAGACTCTGTGTAATTCTATTACTAGAAGACACTATCTCATAGAATCTTGCAACTCAGGCCCGTAAAACAAACACAATGGAGTCCAAACCACCCTGGCAGTTTCGACTCTGCAACAGGCAGCTTCCAGACACCCGTGGCTAGTGCGAGAATGTTCCAACTTGCTCCCACGCTGGCAGAGCACAATTAGAGGATGGCTGGCAGGTATCAAATAGAGTGGTGGCACACCCCGGACAGGGCCAAGGCAGGCCTACAGCTCCCTCTCAGCCAAAGGCAGGAAGCTCTGGGGATCAGGGGCTCAGCCGCCTCTGGTGCCGGCCCCCCTGCCTAGACTGCATGTAGGCCTCCCTTGGCTTTCTTAGGCACGACAACATTCTGGCACCAGTGTGGGCCTGTCGCGGGAACCCACAGGCTTCCCAGGCTGTTATGGCTGTGGTCACCGTAAACAAAAACAGCAGTCATCCTGACTCCAAAACATGTTCTCCACAATGTGAGTGCAGGGAGATTTTGTGCTATAATTAAAATACATAAAGACATGCAACATTTGCCATATTTACTCCAGATAAACAGACTCCTACTCAGAATCCTGTCTGTGTTCCTCAGGACTTGCTGGGTTTACCTCAAGGGGCCAGACAAAGTGTTATTTTCTTTTCTTCATTTTTCTTTTTTTAGACGGAGTCTCACTCTGTTGCCCAGGCTGGAGTTCAATGGTGCAATGATCTCGGCTCACTGCAACCTCCGCCTCTTGGGTGCAAGTAACTCTCCTGCCTCAGCCTCCCGAGTAGCTGGGATTACAGGTATGCGCCACCTTGTCCGGCTAATTTTTGTATTTTTAATAGAGATAGGGTTTCGCCATATTGCCCAGACTGCTCTCGAACTCCTGATCTCAAATGATCCGCCGTTCTCAGCCTCCCAAAGTGCTGGGATTACAGATATGAGCCACCGAGCCCGGCCCAAAGGGTTATTTTCTGAGTGCACCCATGATGTGAGAAAAGTTGTTAAGCCCTGACTTTCAAATTTCTCTTCCTGGAAACTGACCTGGATTTTACTAATGTCCTATCTATGGCAGAGTCTGGAGTGAACCGAAGACTAAGCATAAATGCTGCAGGTCAGGGGCTGTTTCTTATGCCTGAACATCGCGGGGCCTTGGACACCGTCTTTCCAAATCAAGACAGCATAGAGCACAAGTGCTCAGAGGGAATGAGCGAGGATGCAGCTGGCTGCTGCCTCTCAGAGTCACAGTTGGTGCACGGACCCCAGCACTAACAAACGGCCACCAGGACGCTCCTCTGTGTGCATGGGCTCATGTCCCTGACCACGAAAGGCTCAGAAGACGCACCTTTGGCCTGGTGCTGGCTGTAGCCTTCGGGGCATCTGGAACCTGAAGTCCTTCCTTGAATGCTGCAAAAATAATCTTTGCAGCCAAAGTCAGGCCCGCCTCGGCCTCCCAAAGTGCTGGGATTACAGGCGTGAGCCACTGCGCCTGGCCGCAGGCATGTCTTTTTTAAAAAGACAAAGCATGTAATTTTTATATTAGTCTCAGTTTGGTCAGAGAAAATGACTGGTCTGTTGCTATCAGCCTCAGTTACTACGCTTTATTTTTTATTTTTCTTACTAGTGCATTACAGTTAAATAGAATTTTATTGAAGAAGTTATTGGGCTGAAGGCAGATCACTGTAAAGCAGCCCCCATCACTGGCATCTGGTCTCAGTGTGATAAATGCTCAAGAGGAGAAGAACCTTCACAGGGCCAGGAAGTGATGATGTAGGTTCCCTACCTGCCGGAAGGCGCCACATCTCTGCCCGCAAAAGCAGATATGGAAGTTGCCCCTCTGTTCTCCAGTCTCTCTCTTAGAAGCAGTTATCCCCTCTCAAGCTCCTTATTTCTAACCCCCCCAGCCAGTCCCAGGGGAGGGCAAATGCTAAAATTCCAAGGCCATTTCCCTGGGAGAAGAAAGGAGAGGTGAGCAGGAACAGAGAGGCAATTATTTGATTGTGGAGACCCGCAAAACCTATGAACTATTTGGGGTCCCCATCCCTAGTGTCACCTACCCTAGGGAGATGGGTGTGGAAAGGAAGACTCTTTACTCGCTCATTACCAAATCATGCAGTTAGTCAAGTTCTCCGCAAAATCATATCAACTTTGTTAAGAGATAGGAATTAAATAAATGTCTAAGTATTTCTCTGTGACCGTCTTTTAGCAAGCAACCTTAAAACTGGGTGAATTTTGGGGATCCAGCAACCAATTCTGAAAAATTTGATGAAAATCTGATTTAAACAACTTTTTTTTTTTCTAAGTGTCTAGACCTTTCTGTATCAGAAATGAAAGTTTATCACAGTGTCTTTTTCGAGCCCCAGTCATTTCAAGGACACGATGAGAAAAAGCTAATGCATCTCTCCTGCTCTTCTCACTACTCAAGCTCAGGAAAAACTGCACCCTGCATCCAAAGAGTGGGTGGGCTTAAGGATGTAAAGGGTCCAACCTTGACGGGTGGGACAGCGACTGGCTGGTGAAGTCACTTAGCTCTTGCTCTAGTCTCCACCAGGGTGACCCCAGCCAGTCGTCTGGCCATTCAGGCACTTGTTTGTCCAGCTCTTGCTAATTGGGTTGGCATTTGGCTTGTCACCAGGTATTTGGGATGCTCGCAGGGAAAGTGTGGAGAAATACAAACCATCACCTTAATAATTGGTATGATATTTCAGGATCTCTGAATTTCTTCCTTTGTGTGATATTTCTGGAGAGAAAAATCCACTAATAAACCTTTTTAAAATTAATATTAATGGGCCTCTTAACTGTAGCTAAGATATGAGAGTATCTTTCTCTCAAGATGGTCACTGTAGGAGGCTGATTAAAAACACTTTGACTTCGTCAGACAGAAGGGAGTATTGTATCTTGCATGTCATCAATTAATTAAACTTTTCAGCATCATCCAAGAATAGCCTTAACAATGCGTTTATTATTAAAGAGGACACTCATGTGGAATGAGATGCATGCGAGGCTACAGTGCATTGCCAAACCATCTATTTTTGGGGTTAAGACTATATTAAAATTCCAGTTTTATGACTTTAAGCTATGTGCTTCTCAAACATCTGCTTTAAATTTGTCAGTACTTTCGTAATTTAGCCTAATAAAGTTGCATAGTTCTTAATTCCTAGGGAAAGAATAGTGTCAGGGGGAGCAAAAAAAAAAAAAAAGTCTATACTTTCCCAGGGTCATAGCAAATAATTGTGTAATATTCGAACTAGTAATTTTTTTTTTTTTTTGAGACAGAGTCTTGCTCTGTTGCCCAGGCTGGAGTGCAGTGGCGCGATCTCGGCTCACTGCAACCTCTGCCTCCTGGGCTCAAGCAATTCTCCAACCTCAGACTCCCATGTATCTGGGACTACAGGTGCACATCACCATGCACAGCTAGTTTTTGTATATTTACTTTGACAAAGACAGCATTTTACCATGTTGCCCAGGCTGGTCTCGAACTCCTGGCTTCAAGCTATCCACTCACCTTGGCCTCCCAAAGTGCTGGGTTTATAGGCATGAACCACTGAACCTGGCCTTTGAACTACTGATTTTGATTATGAATTTCCCATTGCTTAATGGGATTATAGTGAATTTTGTAAAACAAAACATTTAGTATAATCAAAAATACAACGCAATAGCCATCGAGTTGTTAGGAAGTAGGTGGGTGTCACAAAATCAAACAACATTGAGTGTCACCAGCTGAAAGGACTGAGGGTCATGAAGCTGAGTGGAGAGGTCTTATAGAGTAAGAGAGTGGCACTCTCTGACACAGGAGGAGAGGAACCAGGCAGCGGTGAGGCCACTGAGGCCAGCAGAGGGCAGAGGTGTGGCAGGCAGCCCACCCTCTCCTGTCCCAGCTCTTGGCATGGAGAACCACCTACCTTTCGGGTTAGCCTCCTCTTGATCTCTCTCTTCTCCTCCTGTTCCTCTTGTTCATTCCGAGCTAAAAAAAATATTTAAGATGTTTTTTTATTTCAGTAAACAGTGTTGTGTACAGGTGCATCCTTTGGACCTTGGCAGGCTCTAGGCCAAGCATCTCATTTTAATAAAGGGAAGAGAGTACTCCTGTCCCCTCCCCCAGCTGCCCTTCTCCTTATGGGGATTGCTTTCCAAACTACCTGCGTTGTTTCAAATTGCTACTGAGCAGGCTGACCTTGTCATTTTGCCTTCTTTACATCACATGGGGTTTCAGGTCTCCAGGCAGAGATGCTGGGTTGAGAAATGTGGCTACAAGGCAGGAAGGTAGGTTTTTTTTTTTTTTTTGACACGGTCTCGTTCTGTCTCCCAGGCTAAAGTGCAGTGGCACAATCATAGCTTACTGTAGCCTGGAACTCCTGGGCTCAAGTGATTCTCCTACTTCGGCCTCCCAAGTAGCTAGGACTACACATGCACGCCACCACACCTGACTAATTTTAAAAATGTTTTGTTGAGATGGGGGTCTCATGATGTTGTTCAGGCCGGTCTTGAACTCCTGGCATCAAGCAATCCTCCTGCCTTGGCCTCTCAAAGTGCTGGGATTACAGGTGCAAGCCACCGCACAGCCCAAGGAGGTGGGTGGGAATGTTGACACGGGGACACACAGGCATTTGGGGAGATGTGAGGCTCCTTTCTTTGGATAAGACTGGGGCTCACTCATTCTTTGTTGAGCCTCCCAGACACTGAAGGAGGCTCATTGTGGTATAGTCCTTGTGTCTGGTGCCCTGTGGGTGTAGAGAGAGCAGAAGACTGCCCTCAACCTGCTGCAGGAACAAGACAAGGCAGGAGGAATTTCAAAACGCTCACCTTTCACAAGCCCTGATTCCATCGATTGTTTGAATCTTCCATGAAGTCCACAGAGCATGGGTGAGGCCAGAGTGTGGGATACAATTGCCTGCATGTAGACTCTTTAGGAGTGGCTCAGAAGAGTAGACTGCAGAGCCTGAAAGCTCTTGCCTTAATATATGGGTGATTTACTCATCAGATTTTTAAATAGCTGTACATGGGAGAGTCTGGGGTAGGGGGCAGATACTTGAAGGGCAGAGAATCTGGGCTTATTTCTCCTTTTAAGCTAACTGGATGACCTGGGGTAGACCATTTCCCTTCTGAACCTTGGAAGAATTCCTTGATATCTGTGGAAGCACAGATATCAGCGTAGCATTGTTGGACTTGGAAAAACTATGGAAGTCAGCTTGTATCAAAGAAGGCCTGTGATTCTCAGCCGTTAAATTTCAAATGGCGTTAGTAAAAGGAAACACGTTGATTTTGGCATAGGGTGCATCACGACTGCCTGGGACACTAGTTGGCTCATTTTGAAAATCACAGTTGTTGAATTATATTTTGGTAACTTCATTAGTTTGTTGTATTGGTGCACACATGCAATTCAGGTATGGTTGCTGATTGTCTCAGTATGGGACAGGTCTTTATTTTATTTTTTAAATTTTTTTAATTTTTTATTTTTTTGAGATGGAGTCTTGCTCTGTTGCCCAGGCTGGAGTGCAGTGGCATGATCTCGGCTCACTGCAAACTCCACCTCCCAAGTTCAAGCGATTCTCCTGCCTCAGCCTCCCGAGTAGCTGGGATTACAGGTGCCCACCACCACACCCAGCTAATTTTTGTATTTTTAGTAGAGATGGGGTTTCACCATATTGGCCAGACTGGTCTCGAACTCCTGACCTCAGGTGATCCACCCGCCTCAGCCTCCCAGAGTGCTGGGATTATAGGCGTGAGCCACCGCGCCCGGCCTTGGGACAGGTCTTTAAAGGAAGGAAACCCCCTGTGCCTAGAAAGGGGTGGGGACCATCTGATAACTGTGTCACCTTTACACTCAAGGTGACTATACCTCCCACTAGCACAAGTGGTGTAAGGTCAGAGCAGAAATCAGGCCCTTGAGGGCCACCCCCACGGGCCTGATTTGGCCCCCCAACCGCCTGTGGGCATAAGGCTTTGTAGAAAGGCAGCACAAGAAACAGCCACATCTTGCTGTGGGCTGAGGTCACCAGAGGTCCCTGCTCCAGCCTACCCTACAGTGCCTGAAACCGTCACCATGAGTGTGCTTTCCTTTGGATTTAGAGATCCTATCTCCCTCCCGGAGAGGTTTTTTTTTTTTTTAATGCAAATTTCTCTTGAATAAAAGCCCATTAAACTAGTCAGCCATTAATAGCTCAGTATGAATTAATCTAGTAGAGATAAACTGGGGGGCAGACAGCAACACCCGGAAGTAGGGAGCCCCCAGACAGTGACATTTGTACAAATGCAAATTTCAGTGGGATAAAACCTATTAAACTAGTCAGCCATTAATATCTTAGTATGAATTAATCTAGCAGAGTTAAATGGGGAGGCAGACAGCAAGAACCAGAAGGAGGGAACTCCCATTTTGCGATGTCTCAGGTGGGAAAACGGATGGAAGAAAAGGTGGTCTGGATGTTGGGTCACCAGGGACAGCTAGAGGGCACACGGTGAAAATTTACAGAAGCACAGAATACTAGGGCCATGAGGGGACCTAGTGACCACCTCGTCTACCACTCCTGGTTTATAACTGAGGATCTGAAGCCTCAGGGGTGTTAAGTGGCCAGTCACACCCTACCTGGCTCAGTGGTTACACAGATAGGTTTTTTCCTGTGGTCATGTTTTGTGTGGGGCCGGCTCTCCTCCTCATTACTAGCCTCAGACTTCTGATCCTACAGGTCCCTTCAGAGCCGTGAAGGCGGGCATCCTGTGACACAGCTGACACAGCATGGAGCCTTCATCTCCTATGTGCGTTTCTTAGGTCACTCTGAGGGGTGGGGCCACAAGCTACCACCTACAGAATTGATACCTTTAGTTCAAAGCCATTGACCAACCCAGGTTCATGAATTTTCAGGCAGAAGGTACCAAGACAACCCCATTAGGCAACTAGGAAGACAGGCCAGGAAAGGCCTACGATGTCGTCATTACAGCTGCCACCGTCAGAGGGTTCATTATGTGCTCAGAGGTGCACAGGGCCTCACTGGCTGCTGGACAGAACAGGGGCTGCTCCCAGGACCAGGCAGGGTGGGGCTGGAAACCAACCCAAGGCTCTCAAAGCTCCAGGGCTGAGCCATGGCATCTCTGTGCCCTGTTCCCCACCACCCAACACCGAGCAGTTCCTCAAATGGCTGAAAGCTCAGAAAATCAGTTTTAAAACAAACTATTGGAGGATGTTTTCTTATACCACTAGACATTTTTTTTGTTTAACAATCGCAATAGATTAAATTTAAAAAAATATTTAGGAGAACATAGTTCCAGAATACAGGGAAAAATAAGAACCTATGGGAAAACAAGTTGATTTCTGAAAAGTTTCAAAACTATGAAATGACCAACCTGTTAGAATTGGTCAAGTAGTTCTTTAATTTGCAACTATGTGGCCAGGACAAGAGGGATTAGGGAAGAGAATAAAAGAGAACCATGGGAACAATCTTTCACAACTCCTTTTTGGTCCCCTGAATCTAAGTTCCCTGGTTGATGGCGGTAAAAACCCAAGCTCAAAGGACCTGTAGTCTCCCAGGGATCTGGACAAGCCACAGCGGGGATCTGATATCTTTGAGAGAGCCCAGAGCTGAGCTAGGGGATTTTAGATCTCTCCAGAAACCGTACTCCTGGTGTGATAAGCACTATTTTCTGAAACCTAAATAATCCCCCGGAGGCTTTTAGCTTCTTTGAGTTTAGGTCTCAGGTCAGAGGCCACAAGTACAGCAGCGGGCTGTGAGTAAGTTGTACAGGTTCACCTGGCTGTTTATCTTTCTCTCCAACAATGGGAAGTTTATAATGGCTCAGGTACCAGATTGGGGCCGAAAGGAAGACATCCTACAAGCCAAATGCTTCCCTGACCTTGGAAATGCTTTGAAAAAGCTCTGAATTCATTATATAGAATATTAAGCTTGGAAACTTTAAAGGGTACCCCTTGGGCAGAAAAAAGTAAACACACATTCCTAGAGACCTAGGCAAAGCGTAGGGTTCCCCCACGACTGAGGAAGGCTAATCCTGAAAATAACTTCTACTGAGAGTTGAGGAAGTGGCGGCTGGCGTGGGGACGGGAGGCAAGACATTGATAAAGGCAGAGTTGACATAAACGGACATGCGGGGGCGTCGGGCGGGGGTGGGTGCTGTAGGCAACAGGTCTCCCCACCAAAGCGGAACCCAGCACCCACCTTCAGCAGACTACGAAATGCCGACCAAGTCACAAGGCCACAGTGAGCACGGTAGAAAGGTAAAGTCAAGAATATCTTAGTGTGGTTTCAGTGGAAATTCCCGGCAAACTCACACTGCGGTTGCATGTGATTTACTGGGCACGGGGCGGGGCGGGGCGGGGGGGCCGGGGGAGGCAAGGAGTCAGTCTGTACAACATAGCATTTCTAGAAAACTCTGCATAGTATATATCTTTCTCTTCTGGAGAGAAATTAGAAGTGTGTTGTGGGGTAGGGGGAACAGGGTCATGAATTAAGCCAGAAATATTTGTTCACTATCTTGAGGCCAGTGTTGGCGAGAATGGTAGCAATGAATGAATAGAATGGTTTGATATTTAAGTTATTTAATATCTACCACTAAACTGACGCATACTGCTGTCCATCAAATGCTTGATCTCTTTTAGTATTTTGTATCCTGTTTTCTCTTTTTTTTTTTAAAGCACCAAGTGGATCCTCTGTACATATTCAAATGTCTCTGTGTCCTAAACCAAACAAGGGGCTCATTTATTTTTTTCTGTCTGCAGCAATGGTGAAAGGCAGTTTTCCTCGAATGAGAGCATCAGACAGGCATGCCCGGGACCAGCTGTGGGAATCCTGAGAGACAGACATGAAGCACTTCACTTGGAAATGCTTTCTTAGTCTTTCAATTTAACATTCAAAGGGATGAGGGATTTTTATCAACAGCAGCCAGCTGCAATGCAAAGTCATGCTTTCTAGTCTCAGTTCAAATGGACATTTCCCTTATTTTAGCCGTGCATATCACAGTCTCCATTTTCAAGCCAATTCTGGTTTAAAGGTGACCCTGCTCTTAAAAATCATTAAATAATAAGTGGTCTCACTCTAATTTTTCAGCTTCTCTCTGACTTTACAACTCACTAAAAGGAAGGTTCTGCCTGCCGCCCGTGAGCTTCTAAAGAATAAAGTGGAATAAAATTTGCCTTCTCTTTGGGGAGGTCGTCTTTGGTGTTCTAACATGCACACATGAAGCTTCAACCGTTAGAAAGGTTTTCAATGCTTTCCGCAGAGGCGCAAGGTAGAAACCTTGTGGCCTACCATTAAATAATAACAAAAGCCGCCACAAAACATCAGGGATTGCCATGGGCTTAGTCACTTACGTTTCAAAATGTTCCTCTGTTCCAGTTCCTCTGCAGTTGGCCTCTGGCTCAGCCGCCTACGGAAAAAATCCAGGAAAAGTTTTTGGACCATATCATAGCCTCCTTGGGTCATTAATTTCCTCGGCCCTTGCAGATACATGAGACAGTCAGTGGCTGGAGTTCTTGTTCCATCCTGTGCTCTGAAAGACTGACTCTCGCCACCACCGCCTCCTCAGTTCCTCAATTTCAAGCCCAGGAGAGGCACGTGCGTCATGTCACAGCCGCTGACCCCCGCCCTCCTCCCTGCAGCGGCCCCTCCCCAGCCCCATCTCCTCCAGTGGCCCCAGGCAAGTGGACTGCAACTCAGACGGGACTCTTTTCTTCACAGAAGTCCTTTTCTTTCCTTGTGGCCTCCTAACTTGGGGACTGTGGCCTCTTGCCTCTCTCTCCCTCCCTTGAGGCTAAAGCCTGTCTCCTGCCTCTTCTGTGCAGACCCAGTTAGAACATAAAGAGGTCTGTGGCCCCGGGGACATGTGAGAGAATGTGTCTGTCTGCAGAGAACAATGGCTGCTCTTCTTCTGGTCCTGCTCCTCTTATTTCGGAGGCTTAGAAGACATGAGTGGCAAAGGCACAGAAATGATACTTCTGTGGCCAGGCGTGAAATTTAGCCACCGTACATGAAACATCATAGCCAGGGCATGAGCCTGCAATGACGCAATGGGTGGAGGCGGGACAGGCAGTGGATGGCACGTAGTGACAGAAGTAGCCAGGGAACGGGCATGGCATCTGAGGGGAGAATGCCTGCATTAGGTCCCAGGAATGACTGACACGGACTCAGGAGCCTGAGCAGGAACAGAGACATCTGTACCTTTGAAGCTTTTGGTAATTATTTAACAACCTGCAATTATCCGGCATTCCACTTCACCCATTGGGATGAGGTGTGTGAGAAACTGAATCATTGTAGAAGAAATTTTAGGCTTCTCAGACTCCTCTATTGGGATCTAAGGGGTAGAAATGATGCTCTCCTAGTTGAGGAAGTTGCAGTCCCTCCTTGGGTATTAGAAACTGGTGTCTATAGTCGGCAAGATGTTCACATCTTGAAATCTAAAGAGAGATCCTAGAGTGAAAATATCAAGTCAATGAAGTCTCCAAACCTAACTACAGTTGGTCCTCTGTGTCCATGAGTTCCACATTCTTCGGTTCTACCAACTGCTGACGGAAAATATTAAAAAAAAAAACAAACAAAAAACAATAGTCTAAAATTATTGATATAGCATTTATCTTGTATTAGATATAAGTAATTTAGAGATGATTTAAAGGATATGGGAGGATACACATAGTTTTTTGCAAATACTACGCCATTTTATACAAGGGACTTGAGCTTCCTTGGATTTTGGTATCCAAGGGAGTCCTGGAATCAATCTCCCAGAAAGGACTATATTTTTAATTCAAAGCTTGTTGTCATTTGTGTTTTTGTTTATTGTGCTGGGCCAGAATCAATTGCTTCTGTGACATTCCCGTGTCACCACCACACATCCTATATAGGGAATGGGCTTCAATGTCTCATATAGTTTGGATATTTGTCGCTGCCCAAATCTCATGTTGAATGGTAATCCCCATTGCTCGGGGGGAGGCCTGGTGCAAGGTGCTTGGATGGGGAGCCCTCATGGCTTGGTCCTAGCTTCTTGACAGTGAGTTCTTGCAAGATCTGGTCATTTAAAACTTTGTGGCGAAACCCCGTCTCTATTAAAAATACAAAAATTAGCCGGGCATGGTGGCACATGCCTGTAATCCTAGCTACTTGGGAGGCTGAGGCAGGAGAATCGCTTGAACCTGGGAGGTGGAGGTTGCAGTGAGCCGACATTGCGCCACTGCACTCCAGCCTGGGTGACAAAGTGAGACTGTCTCAAAAAAAAAAAAAGAAAAAAAAAAAGCATGTGGCAACTCCCTGCTCACTCTCTCTCTCTCTCTTGCTCCTGCTTTTGCCATGTGATGTGCCTTCTTCTCCTTCACCTTCCTCCATGATTGGAAGTTTCCTGAGGCCTCCCTAGAAGTCAAGCAAATGCCAGGGCCATGCTGCCTGTATAGCCTGCAGAACCATGAGCCAATTAAACCTCTTTTATTTATAAATTACACAGTCTCAGGTATTCCTTTATAGTAATGCAAGAATGGCCTAATACAATGTCAGAGAAAGGATTTTTGGTCATATACCTGCTTATAAAGCCTATAGCACCCTGAAACTGTTGGAAATTGCATTCCAAAGTGTTTTTAA
The DNA here is from genome assembly GCF_000001405.40 of Homo sapiens. Taxonomy (NCBI): domain Eukaryota; kingdom Metazoa; phylum Chordata; class Mammalia; order Primates; family Hominidae; genus Homo; species Homo sapiens. The sequence continues at coordinate 13,270,664 of NC_000006.12, read as the reverse complement.
GAGTATAAGAACATTTTCATATTTATTATTCCTTTTCAAAATATCCCTGTGGTATAATATAAAACATATTTATCTTTGACCCAGTTCCTATCACAGAGCACCTAAAACCCCTGGAATTTCTGGGGTGTCAGGAGTGTATTTTGTTACTTGGAATGAGTCCCTTTGGATTACACCAGAGTTTGTGCTAATTAGGTGACTTAGGATGGGGCTGGCCACCAGAAAGAACACATAGTTAGAGGCCTGGAGCTTTCAGCTGGGAAGCAGGAGGGTGGGGGGCTGGAGGTGAAGTTCTATGGAAACTCTTAAACCACAAGATTAGATGAGCTTCCAGGTTGCTGACCATGGGGCTGGGGGGCACTGTTGGGAGGGTGGCACCCAGAGAGTGCACAGAAGCTCTGCCTCTCTCCCCCAATACCTTGCCCTGTCCATCTCTTCATCTGGCTGTTCATCTGTAACCTCTGTAAGAAACTGGTAAAGTAAGTGTTTCCCTGAGTTCTGTGAGCTGTCTTAGCAAATTATTTGAACACAAAGAGGGAGTTGTGAGAACCCCAGTTTACAGCTAGTGGGTCATAATATAGGTGACAACCTATGACTTGGTATTGGCATCTGAAGTGGGGGCAGTTCTGTGGGACTGAGTCCTTAACCTGTGTGATCTGACACTGTCCCAGTAGAAAGGGTCAGAATCAAATTGAATTACAGGATGTCCAGTTCATGTCTGCTGGAGAATTGCTTGGTGTGTGGGGAGCTGCCTCACACAGAAATGTGTGGGGTCACAGAAGTGTGTTAAGTGTGAGAGTAGAGTGAAAAAAAGTTTGTTTTTTTCTTTTTTTGAGACAGAGTTTAGCTTTTTTTGCCCAGGCTGGAGTGCAGTGGTGCGATCTCAGCTCACTGCAACCTCTGCCTCTCGGGTTCAAGCGATTCTCCTGCCTCAGCCTCCTGAGTAGCTGGGATTACAGGTGCGTGCCACCATGCCCCGTGCTAGTTTTTTGTATTTTCAGTAGAGACAGGGTTTCACCATGTTGGCCAGGCTGGTCTTGAACTCCTGACCTTAGGTGATCCACCTGCTTCAGCCTCCCAAAGTGCTGGGATTACAGGCATGAGCCACTGCTCCCAGTCAAAGTTTGTTTTTTCTCTTTGCAATCCCATTAAGACATTTTTCATCCCCATTGACAAGGGCCAGCTGTGTATTTGGAAATTCACAATATTAGGGGGTCTAAATTTGGATGCAGTAGTCTTTGAATTCTTTCTAAAATAGCATTCTCACGCTGCAGGAGGAAAGCGATGATTATGCAACTGAGTGAGCCGGTGTCAGAGGTCTGGAATGCAGCTTACCAACTCCACGTTGAAAGATCTTAACAGCTCTTTCTCACCTGCCAGTTTATTTTCCCTAAAAATACTTGCTGCTTTTATAAGAGATGCGCAGCCACTTTTATGGAATGGTTTGGTAATACCCAGGCTTTAAGTCAAGCTAAGTTTTGGGGGCAGAATGTTTTGAGAAAGCCTTGTAAATGTGGGTGGCGCCTACATTTGGAGATCAGGCCAGTGTTTTGGAGTCTTATGCGAAGTGTCTGCAGACTACATTGTTCCCTCATCAGCTTTGACGGTGCCATCCCATTGATCTCATTAGTGAACATGACAACTGGCTCTGTGGTGGCCTCCCCTTTTTTTTATGGGTGGTCATATTTGGAGGGGGCAAAACTGAGTGACTAGACTCTGATCAGAGAAAATTCTGTTATTAACTAGGCTGCTTTATAGTCAAACACTCATAATTTCAAATGAGTTCCTCTGTTTGTGTTTCATTTCTCTGGAAAGCGACTGAGAACATCAAGACTAATCATAGCTATAACATGCAGCTGAGCCCGCCAGAAGGGCCTGTGCTATAGTTAGTTGTTTTGACCTTGAAAATGAGATTTGGGAGGAAAATGATATGGTGGCATTGTAAGGACAAAGCACTAAGTAGCTCAGGAGCTAGGAGGTTTGGGTTCTAGTCCAGGCTCTGCTCTGAACCTATTTACCTCAGACAAGGTATCAGATCCTGCTAGGCCTATGCTCTTTTCTCTGCAAATCATAAATACTAGTTTAATAAGCTAAGGCTGATTTAATGCCTATAATGTAAGGGTATGGTTCCAAGCACTGTACATATGTTAGTTCATTTAATCTTTATCTTAAGATTTTTAACTGAATTCCAGTTGCAAAGTCTCCTTTGCCCTGGGACGTTACATATTCATAGATCTGGGGATGAGGATGTGGACATCTTGTGGAAGGGTGGCCAATATTTTGTCTGCCATAACTATGATACTTTACTAGTCAGAGGTTGCAAACTGATGCCTGGTGCACTGGATTTGACTCTATCAGTTCTCTTTGGCATGCTCAGAGGTTACACTTTTTTCTCTTTTTTGAGACAGAGTCTTGCCCTGTCACCCACGCTGGAGTGCAGTGGCACAATCTCAGCTCACTGCAACCTCCACCTCCCAGGTTCAAGCGATTCTCCTGCCTCAGCTTCCCGAGTAGCTGGGATTACAGGTGTGTGCCACCACGCCCAGCTAATTTTTGTATTTTTAGTAGACATGCGGTTTCACCACGTTGGCCAGGCTAGTCTCAAACTCCTGACCTCAGGTGATCCACCCACCTCGGCCTCCCAGAGTGCTGAGATTACAGGTGTGAGCCACTGAGCCCAGCTGGTTATACTTTTTTTGAGCCTGAATGCCTTTAGACAGAGTGTGTGATCAAATTAGCCCTCTCCCCAGGCCTCACTTATGTAATACAGGTGAGCACGCTCACATCTGTCCTGCTTTTTTTTTTTTTTTTTTTTTTTTTTTTTTTTTTCAGATCATTCCTGGACCCCCGAGGGCCTCTGAGTTTGAGACGCTGGCTGAGATCAAATGATAAGAATTCCAATTTTTGTTTTCCTAAGTCTTTCATCTGCTAATCTACCCAACATGAACCACGGGCCACATGAAGGGCCAGACACATTCTTAAGCGGCTCACAGCCTAGAGGTGCACATCTGTGATTACAATGTGCAAGGTAAAACTGGATCAACAGTTTCCAAGGACTGGCATGTAATAAAATATCCTCAAAACAACAAGCAAGTTGGGCGTGACTTAGACTTTCACTGCCCATGTAGAAGGCACTGTACATTCTTGCAGCATCTCAGTTGGCCAGCAAGAGGTGAGTCAGAAAAAAACCATTCAGCAGCCACATGGAAGTGGGGCTCACTGGGCACAAGGCAAAACTGTGAAGAAGATAAAGTGTCTGTGGTTCTGCATTGACTCTATTCCCTGGAGTCCTCCCCTCTCGAGTTCCTAGAATTATGTTATCACTCTTGCTCTATCTCATTCCTATCAAGACCTGTTTTAGAAATGGGTGCCACAGACTCAGTTACATTCAAATGTAAACCCATTCATTCATTTAGCAAGTTACTTATTAGTGCCAGTGCTGTGTCAGGTTCTACATTAGGTACCAGAGTACAGTGATGAGCAAAACCAGTCCCTGCCCTTCTGGAACAGAGAAGACTGGAAGAGGATGGGGGTAGCCATTAATCAAACAGTCACAGAAATGAGTGCAAAATGTAGCTGGAGTAAGGGCTTCCATGGTGAGGCACTTGGTGCAGGGATCTCTGGATCTGACCAAATCAGGAGGTCAGGAAAGGCTTCCAGGAGGAAGTGACACTGTGCCCAGAGCTCAGGGATGGAAGAAGGATGCTCCTTCTGGGCAGAGAGTAAGGAGAGAAGATTGGTGGGAAGGAGGGCAGGGGCCAGATGCCGTGGGTGTGATTTGGATCTGTGTCCCTGCCAATCACATGTTGAATTGTAGTCCCCAGTGTTGGAGGTGGAGCCTGGTGGGACATGATTGGATCATGGGGGTAGTTTTTCATGAACGGTTTAGTACCAACCACTTGGTGCTGTTCTAGTGAGTTGAGTGCATTCTCGCGAGATCTGGTTGTTTAAAAGTGTGTAGCACCCTTCCCTCTTGCTCCTGCTCCTCCAATGTGAGACTCCTTGCTTTCCCTCTGTTTTCCACCATGATTGGAAGCTTCCTGAGGCCTCACCAGAGGCAGATGCCAGCATCATGCTTCCTGTGCAGCCTGCAGAACTGTGAGCCAATTAAACCTCTTTTCGTTATAAACTACCCAGTCTCAGGTATTTCTTCACAGCAGTGTGGGAATGGCCTAATACAGATGCTTCCGGGACTTAGATCTTCTTTTTCTAGGAGCAATGTGAAGCCGTTGAAGAGTTTAAGTTTTAGGGTGTGAGAGGGGAGGAGTGAATGAAATGATCAGACTTACAGTGGAAAGAGATCATGCTGGTTATTATATGGAGAAGGGATTGGGGGAGGCAAGAGGAAACCCGAGCAGAGGCTTTGGGAGGCTTGGCACACCTGGTAAGAAATGGTGGAGGCTTGGGCGAGGCTGTGGCAGTGATGTGCAAGCTCTTAGGAAGTCAGGTAGCATATGTGAATGGACAGGAAGAAGCAGGTGTACAGGATATCTCCTTAGGTTTTCTAACTCATGCAACTAGATGGATGGGAATGCTGTTCACTGAGGCAGGCACACTGCAAGAGAACCAGCGTGTTTGTGAAGGAAGAGTGGAAGAAAACCATGAATTTGAATTTGGATCTGTTACATCAGAATGCTCCTGAGACATATGAATGAAGCTGTCATGTAGGCAGCAGGATACATTTAGCTCAGTGGAGAGGAGAGGACTAGGCCAGTGATAGAAATCTGAGACTAGTCTGCAATATAGACAATATTTGAAGCCATGAGTATGGAGAGAGTAGAGAATGGGAAGAGGCGAGGGCTTAGGATGGAACTTTGCCGAATTCCAGTATTTAATGCATGGACTAAGGAGGATGACCCTGCCATGGATTCTGGGGAGGGGAGTTCTTGGAGGTAGGATGAGGACTAAAATGTCATATCATGGAAGCAACGTAATGGGAAAGAAAATATAGTAACTAATGCTAAGGCTTTCTGAAGTGGAGTCGAAGGTTGCAAGAGGATCGCACTCACACCTGCTGAAGGTCAAACCCAGGGGATGTTCCAATAGACTCGGTCAAACAACTGAAGTCAGCATCTGCTGGCCTTCAACACCTCAGCTGAGAGTACTCTCATTAACTAACCAATCACAACGGCTTTGTGATTTAGGATTTCTGCCTGGCCAATGAACTACTTCCGAAAATAACTTTTTATGACAATCCTCTATTTTAAAAATTCTCTCCTGCAGCCTGCCTTATAGGGCACTCTTCAGGGCTGCCCTGATCCGGTGTACCCCAGCTGCCATTTTTGCTTCCCAAATAAGTGCCTTTGACCTGCATGTCAATCTTTTCGTTAACAGTAAGATGATAGGTATGGCCCACAAAGAGTTCTGAGAGCTGCTGTAAGGTTAGATGAGGCCTGAAAAAAATGCCCACTGGGTTTAGCACCATGGAGGCTGTTACTGACAACACCTAGAGCCCCTTCAGTGGCGTGGCAGGAAGAGAAGCCAGATTGGAGAGGGCTGAGGACAGGGGTGGAAAAATGGATGCACCGAAGCTGGAGGACTTAGCCACGAAGCCTGGCTTTGAAGCGGGTGAGAGAAGTAGAAGTGAAGGAGGCTGTGGTGGAATTTTATTTTATTTATTTTATTTTATTATTTTTTTTTTTTCAGAGATGGGGCCTCACTCTGGTCACCCAAGCTGGAGTGCAGTGGCACCACCTTGGCTCACTGCAGCCTCAACCTCTCGGACTCAAGTAATCCTCTCACCTCAGCCTCCTGAGCAGCTGGGACTATAGGCATGCACCACCATACCTAGCTAATTTTTAATTTTTGGTAGAGACGAGGTCTTTCTGTGTTGCCCAGGCCAGTCTCAAACTCCTGGGTTCAAGCTGTCCTCCTGCCTTGGCCTCCCAAAGTGCTGGGATTACTGTTATAAGCTACCACACCTGGCCAAATTGTATCGTATTTTTTTCTCAGATGAGGGCTCACTCTGTGGCCCAGGCTGGAGTGCAGTGGTGCAAACTCGGCTCACTGCAACCTCTGCCTCCCAGGTTCAAGTGATTCTCCTGCCTCAGCCTCCCGAGTAGCTGGGATTACAGGCACATGCCACCACACCAGCTAATTTTTGTATTTTTAGTAGAGATGGGGTTTCACCATGTTGGCCAGGCTGGTCTCGAACTCCTGACCTCAGGTGATCCACCCACCCTCAGCCTCCCAAAGTGCTGGGATTACAGGTGTGAGCCACCACACCCAGCCCAAATTTTATTTTTTTAATGGATGAAAATGGGGCATGTTTAATGGAAATAATCCAGATTAGATGGTGGGGGGTGGAGGGAGAAGCTGAATATATAAAAAGGGAAAGGCCCAATTGGTAGTGCATGAGTCCTGAGAAGGTAGGAGGGCTTGGGATCCAAGGGATGGAGGTAGCATTATTTTTGAGTGGAAGAAGAACAGCTCTTTACTGGGACAGCAGGGAAGCAGGACAGAGTGGGTTGCATGTAGATTTGCAATGTTCCGTATTGGAATTATAGAAGAGTTCCCAATTGATAGCTTTTGCTTATTCTTTCAAGTTGAGATACACTGAAGATGACTTATTTTAGTTTAAAATTTTACCATTCACTGGGAGATTTGTCTTTGATCAGAGACAAATTCACAAACCCAAAGCATAAAGCTCCAGCTTTGGAATTCTAGTCATCAAAATTTTCGGGGGACACCCAGGGCATCTTGCCATCTTCACCAAGCAAAGCAGCCATCTGCTTGGCTCATTTTATGATCGATGTACCTGGTGCATCTCTTAAGTACTGGTTAACATAGAAAGCTGAGCAGCAGAGCACGACGACGTGGTCACCTGTATGAATCATCCCAAGGAGCTGCTAACTCCAAGAATCAAAGTCAAGATGCCTCCTGAATATACTGTATCTCCTTTGCTCCCACCTTGCCAGTAGATTTAACTAGTTGTATCTGATTAAAACTAACATTAAATTAAACAAAATTCCTGACTGTATATCTAAACGTGATCACTTTGCTAGGTGTCAAAGGCAATGATTTTTGGAGATAAATTTTTACATAAAATGAATCATCCAAAATTAAATGTTTAATGTACTTTCAAGGGATCTTAAGTAGCTTTGCTACTATATATGTGACCCTGGTTTATAAAATATGTCTGAGCAGCAAAATGGTTTCCATGCCTCAAATGGTTTTTTCTTTACCATGGACTATGGCTAAATGATTCAGTGAACTGAAAAAATCTCTGGGTTCCTGTTTAAATGCCACATGCTATCAAGTGCTGTATGTGAGCCTTCTATTTTCTTTAAAAATTTAAGAATGGATCTTGCCTTTTTTTTTTTTTCAGTCTGAACAATGCTGTCTCTACTGGTGACCATAAGAAATAATCAAATAAATTGAAGTTTTCTTTTTGCATGGAAAGACTGAAAAAAAAAAAAAAAAAAAAAAACACTAAAAGCCCAAAATAAAGGACACTTCAGTTTTGACCTTGGAAAAAGAAGACTGGTAGAGAATGTAGTGGCAAGATGCTTTAAATGTATGCAGAGCAGGCAGCATTGTCTTTGCACATTACAGCATCTCCCTAGAGAAGTGACAAAACCCTTGTAGGTTTTGTTGGTCTGACTTGTTGAGGCTGACAGAGATTAGTTGTGCTGCACAGAGCTAATGGGCTTTCTGCCGTTTCCAGAACACCAAGGTCACAGCTTTCATTAGCATTTACAACTGCTTATTGTTTTGAGGGCCTTGATTTTAAAGTCTGGATCTCTGAAACTGTATCTGCATTTCAGGACAAAGGAAAAACAGAATTAACTTGGGTTTTCTGCAACTCAGCACCAGAGAAAGGTAACTGCATTTTCAGACAGATGGAAAGAGGAAATGCAAAAGTCCTCACAGAGAATGACAGAAAATAAGATCCTCTCTCCAAAAGTAGGAGGAGATGGGGTTTTCTAACAGGTATCCAGAAGTGTAGATGGGCTTGGTGGGATCAGGGGAAAGGGAGAAGCACTGAATTCTATCCCCTCTACATCCTTTGGAAACTTCCTCCTGAGAACCTATGAGTTCCATGAGGATTGGGGCATTTCTGTCTGGCCTTGGTTATTACTACATCCCCAGTTCCTAAGAGAGCATAGAGAGCATAATAGATGCTCATTTAGTAACTATTTAACCCAGATCCCACCAGTTCAGATGCCACACATGCTCCTTGGATGATCTCATCAACACTCATGACTTCCAATAGCATCAATATGCTGATGATTCCAAAATCTAAACCTCCAGTCATATTTTTGAGTTCCTGGCCACCTTTCTAACTGCTGTCTTGTACTCCTATGGGCCATCAGACTTAAAGGGTCCCAAATGAATTAACTCATCTTCTTCCCCCATACATCTTCCTCTCCAAGTGGTCTTGTATGGAGTCCTAGTGAGATGCCCAGGCCATGAAACTGGGAATCATCCTGTCTGAACTTCACTCTTGATGGCCAATCAACCACCAAGAGTCCTATATCCAAACCATCTCTGATTCCATCTACCACCACCTTGGGGAAGCAGTCCATCAGCATCTCTCCCAGTTGCTGCCAGCCTATCCCACTCTGGTCCTCCTCCAGCCCATACAGAATGATCTTTCTAAGGGACCGATCTGATCACACCACTCTGTGCTTGAAAAGTAAGTATGCCTTTACAGTGCTCACAGGACAGAGTCAAAACACTCAGTGTTCTGAAAGATTCTTCATGATCTGGCTACCTGCCTGTCAAGAATCTGCCCATTCTGTCCTTCACCCAGAATGATCTCTTCTTGGTTCCTTCCAGATTTGCATGCCCTTCCTCATAGCCTTACCATTCTTTTCCTTCCTCTTTGTCTGTCTAACTGACAATAATCCCTAACGTTACAGCTTAAAGCTTCAGTATCACTTCCTCTGTCTGCAAATCTCTTGGTTTAGGTGTCCTACAGTGTGCAACAATATTCCTGCATGTTCCATACCCCAGTGCTTGTTTTACTTTCTTTTATTGCCTGTCCTATTCACCAGACAACAAGGCTTACACTCTGTGAGGCCAGGGCCACCTCTGCCTCACTTAGACAACCAGGGATAGCTTCCTGTCCATAGAATCTGAGCAGGTGCACAGAACACCCTCCTACTCCACCCCTGCACAGAAGGGCTTCCTGCTTGGGGTTTAATGCTCTGTTGCCATTTCAAACTTTTCAATATTTTTTTATCTTTTGAACAAGGAACCTCTCACTTGTTCACCATGACATCTGCAGAGCCTAGCACAGAGTCTGGTAACTGGAGATGCTTAATGTTTGTGAAATAATTAAATGGATGCTACTTGGTGACTTTTCCTTACCTTTAACCTTTACCTCTTTCTTGGTTCTTTCCTTAGGGCAAACAACTGTATTCTCCATTAGAAATAAAACTCTTTAAAACAACAACAAACGAACAAAGCTGTCCTCCTACGCCAGCCTCTTCCTCCAGCTCACCCCTCTCACCTGTCTGCTCTTGGCTGCCAGACCTCTCGAAAGGGTGGTCCAGGCTCGAGGTCTCAGTAACTCTCCAGTCTGGCTTCTGTTCACACAGCTTTACTGTGCTGGTTCTCAGCATGGGTGATTTTGCCTCCTAGGATGCATTTGGTAATGTCTGAAGTTATTTTTGGTTGTTGCGATTGAGAGGGTGCTGTTGGCATCCGGTAGATAGAGGCCAGGGTGCTAAACATCTTCCAATGCATGGGACAGCCCCCACCACAAAGATCATTCAGTCCAAAGCATCAACAGTGCTTAGGTTGAGAAGCCTTGCTCTACTGAATCAATTCTTGATAAGGTCATCGATGATTCAATTGTCTAATCCAGTGGCCTTTTGGAGCCCTTATTTTACTAAACCTTTCTCTATTATATGATACCTTTGACTAATAGTCTCATATTTCTCTCTTAATATTTCCTAATTCCTGCTACTCAGCAGATCTCAGGTGTGATAAAAGCCCAGGGGTGCCCTATCCTTCAGAGTGGCTTTGGGCAGTATGATGCATGCCAGTCACCAGCTTGGGTCAGCCTGCTGTTTAACAAGTGTGAGATCTTGAATGAGACGGCATTCCTCTCTAAGCCTCAGCTTTTTCATCTCTGTGCGATGGAACAAAGAGAATACTTTAACTGCCAGTCCTGGTCAAAATTCTTAGTATTTTAGTGCTAAGAAGGGGCAGAGGAGAAGTTGGGAGGCGGGGAGGACATAGCTTGGTTGTTTTACTCCTCTGCTACCAGCCTTCCACCGCCTGACATTGCGCTAAGAATAATGCTTGAATTCACTCCACACCACAGCCTGGCCACAATGCCTCATTTACCTTCACTCCCTTATTCACAGTAGGACAACCCAGTAGCACATTCACAGTTTAGGGAAGCTGAGATGCCTCCTCTGATTCTACCAGGCAGAGGTAGTAGTTCTGTCTATGGAGTTCCCCATCTTGACGATGGCCTTATCCATTACATTGGTGATACCTGCGTACATGAAGATCTTCTCAGTTGGACGATGAATGCTCCAAAACCACCAATTACATCTTATTTATCTCTGTGTTCTTAGTACTTAGTACAGCAGCTGGCACATAATAGGGGCTCATTTGATTTTTTATGTTAAACAAATTAATAATCTCTCGCCCCTGGAGTTGTGCCCATGGGATGAATGAGAATGCTGGGCGTATGGGAAGGCATTCCTGCCACAGAAGAGGGGCTGCTGGGAGGGCTGAACAGCAGTTTTGCTTTTATTCCTCAGTACTATGCCCTTTTCTCTCTGCAAACTGAGCAGAACAACTCTTAATACTATTGATCCGCACGCCCAGCTCTTCCCAGGCATTTCCATCAATGATTTTCAAATTTCTGTCATTCCCCTTAAGCTAAGAACAGTTAGCCTGGCTAGAGGAGAGAGCACAGAGGGGGGAAGATGAACTGGGGCCCTGAGGCCCGCATCCTGGCCTGCCTGCACCACTCATCAGAAGGTCCCTTGAGCACATGACATCTCCTTACCCCTCCATGCCCAATTTCACTATATGACAAATGGTCATAATGACATCTAGCCCGCCTGCTGTGTAGGACTGTCAGGAGGATCAAAGGAGAATTAGATGTGAAAGTCCCTTTTAAAAATAAGTACAAAGCATGAAATACTATTTTTGGTAACTTGAAAAAAATCCCTTACCTGAAATAGATAAACAGGTTACGCTTAAAAGAATATTTTTGGCTTTATTCTCTGGAGGCTATGACCCCAGTGCAATGGCCTGTGGCTAAGATGAGACACTGAGATAATAACCCAAAAAAGTATTGTAATATTGCTGGTCATGTTGAGTGGAAATCACTTTTGGAGTAATGATGGGACTGTGTGTATTACTAGGCATCAAATCCATTGAAAAACAAAACAGTGAGACGGTTGAGAGCCTGCACAGTGAACATTTTCAGTATTATTAGGATTATTGGACATAAACCCCATGTCAGGATGATTCCACTTTGAAAGAGTATCTGAGTTGTTATAACAGAAATTAAGGTAGTTAATTACAACAGAAATTAAGACAGTCATTTCAACAAGGCTATTTTTACAAGAAGAATCCATCAAAATGAGTGCCAAAACATTGTGATGCCAAAAAGCTAGGAAATACAGAATAAAAGACAAATGTCCAGTGCTCCACCACTTTAAAGTGACTCAGGAGATTTGGTCACCTTTAGCTTAACTCCTCCAACCATCCCTGCGTGTATTATGTGCCAGAAATTGGGCTAGGCTTTCAGTTAGAGCTATATATAAAAACAACATCAGCAAGAATGACCACGCACAGATGATTTAAAAAGCTCTGCCATCAAATATAGACCATGTTTTATCTTTTGCTATTAGCTTCTCCTCACACCTTAAAAACTAAAATTTAGCCTTTGCTTTTCCCTGCTCCTTTCCAATAAAGAGCTCTACCAGGTACCTTTGGCAAAAAATGAACCTTCTTTCTAGGAGCACAAAGCATTTTTTAAGTAACCCTCTGTCAGAGTCTTCAAGAAGCTTAACATGATCTGATCAAAGGAAAAGACTGAGATTGAGGCAAAACTGGTGCAGGGCCACCACTGCCAATCATCACCCTTCACGAGACTAGTGGGAACAAAAACCACACTGAACTTATAACTTCAAGCCCATTGCTGGTCCTCTTGCTACAGCATTTTGTCTCTTTTCCTGATCTCTGCCGCTTGCCATGGTTTCTATGTCAGTGGTTCTCATTCCCGTAGCACCTTAGAATAACCTGTGTTACCTTAAACCTGGGCCACATTCTTAACCAATTAAATCAGAATGTATGAAAGTAGAGCTTAAGCACTGTTTTTTTTTTTTCTTTTTTTAAGACGGTGTCTCTCTCTGTCGCCGAGGCTGGAGTGCAGTGGCGCGATCTCAGCTCACTACAACCTCCGCCTCCCAGGTTCAAGCAATCCTCCTGCCTCCCCCCTAGAAGCTGGAATTACAGGCACGCGCCACCATGCCCAGCTAATTTTTGTATTTTTAGTAGAGACGGGGTTTCATCATGTTGGCCAGGCTGGTCTCGAACTCCTGACCTCAGGTGATCCATCCACCTCGGGCTTCCAAAGTGCTAGGATTACAGGCATGAGCCACTGCTCCCAGCCTGTTGTATTTTTTTGTTTGTTTGTTTAAGCTTTGCAGGTAATTCAAACCTGCACTGAGGATTGTGAAGAATCCCAGGTCAGTGCTTCTCACAGCGTGGTCCCCAGCGTCAGCATCACCTGGGTGCTCTCTAACCTGCAAACCACTGGGCTCCGGAGCTACTGAATCAGAAGGTCTGAGAGTGGGGCACAGCCATCTGTGCTGGTTTTACAAGCTCTCTCCAGGAGATGCACGTGCATGCTAAAGTTTGAGAACAACAGCTCTAGATGCTGTCATAAAAGGTTGAAGGAGGCTGCTTCAATAGGTGGGTGGACATGCAAGCAGGTAAGGTTAGAGAGATGTGAAGATGTGGAGACAGCCTGCATATGACTCTACTGACAAGACAGAGGTCACTGAGCAATAAGGAAAGAAATAGCATGCGCAAAGTGTCAGCCTCCATCTACAAGGGAAAACGTGAGATTTGTGTTCTATCCTGTGGAAGTAAGAAGATCCCAGAGGAGTCAAGAGCTGTGATTTAGACCAATGGGTTTAACCTTTATTTATTTTATTTTATTTCCATTTTACTTAATTCAATATGATTTAAGATATATCTGATGAACGTTTTCCAGATAAGGTGCTGGATGGGTGGGAATTAGAAAGATGATTATGATGTATAATAAAACTCTATGAAGTTAGGGATTGATATGGTTTGGATCTGTGTCCCCACCCAAATCTCATGTTCAATTGTAATACCCAGTGTTGGAGGTGCAGCCTGGTGGGAGGTGACTGGATCATGGGGGTGGTTTCTCATGAATGGTTTAGGACCATTCCCTTGGTGCTGTTCTCCTGATAGTGAATGAGTTCTCATGAGATCTGGTTGTTGAAAAGTGTGTGGCACCTCCTCCTCTCTCTCTTGCTCCTGCTCCTGCCATGTCAGATGCCTCACTCCCCCTTTGTTTTCTGCCATGATTGGCAGCTTCCTGAGGACTCCCCAGAAGCAGAAGCTGCTAGGTTTCTTGTACAGCCTGCAGAACCAGGAGCCAATTCAATCTCTTTTCTTTAAAAATTACCCAGTCTCAGGTATTTCTTTGTAGCAGTTCGAGAAAAGGCTAATACAGAAATTTGAAACTGAGGAGTAGGGTATTGCTATAAAGATACCTGGATATGTGGAAGTGACTTTGGAACTGGGTAATGGACAGAGATTGGAAGAGTGTGTAGGGCTCAGAAGAAGAGAGGAAGATGACGGAACATTTGGAACTTCCTAGAGACTGGTTGAATGGCTTGTGACCAAAATGCTCAAAGTGATATGGACAGTGAAGGCCAGGATGATGAAATCTCAAATGGAAATGAGGAACTTATTGGGAACTGGGGCAAAGGTCACTTCTGTTATGCTTTAGTAAAGAACTTGGCTGCACTGTGCCTCTGCCCTAGGGATCTGTGGAACTTTGAACTTGAGAGTGATGATTTAGAGTATCTGGCAGAAGAAATTTCTAAGCAGCCAAATTCAAAATGTAGCCTGGCTGCTTCTAATGATATATGCTGACATGCATGAGCAAAAAGATGACCTAAAACTGGAACTTACATTTAAAGGGGAAACAGGGTAAAAGTGGAAACTTTGCAGCCTGGCCATTTGGTAGAAAAGAAAAGCCCATTTTCAGGGGAGGAATTCAAGTAGGCTGCAGAAATTTGCATAAGTAAAAAGGAGCTAAGTGCTAATAGCCAAGACAATGGGGAAAAGACCTGGAAGCCACTTCAGAGACCTTCACAGCAGCTCCTCCCATCACAGGCCCAGAGGCCTAGGAAGGAAGAATGGTTTCATGGGCCAGGCCTAGGGCCCCGCTGCCCTGTGCAGCCTTGGGACACTGCTCCCCGCATCTCAGTCACTCTAGCTCTAGCCATGGCTCAAAGGGGCCCAGGTGCAGCTCAGGCTGCTGCTTCAGAGGGTGCAAACTGTACGCCTTGGTGGCTTCCATATTGTAGTAAGGCTGTGGGTGTTCAGAGTACAAGAGTTGAGGCCTAGACTTTAGAGTATGTATGGAAAAGCCTGGGTGTCCAGGCAGAAGCCTGCTGCAGGGGCAGAGCCCTCATGGAGAACCTCTGCTAAGGCAGCGCAGAGGGAAAATGTGGGGTTGGAGCCCCCCCCACAGAGTCCCCACTGGGGCACTGCCTAGTGGAGCTGTAAGAAGAGGGCCACTGTCCTCTAGGCCCCAGAAGATCCACTGGCAGCTTGCACCCTGTACCGAGAAAAGCCACAGGCACTCAACATCAGTCCATGAGAGCAGCTGTGGAGGCTAAACCCTGAAAAGCCACAGAGGCAGCACTGGCCAACGCTTTGGGTGCCCACCATCCACACCAGTGTGGCTGGGATGTGGGACATGGAGTCAAAAGAGATTTAGGAGCATTAAGATTTAATGACTGCCCTGCTAGGTTTAGGACTTACATGGGGCCTGTAGCCCCTTTCTTTTGGCTGATATCTCCCTTTTTGAATGGAAGTATTTACCCAATGCCTATACCCCCATGTATCTTGGAAATAACTAACTTGTTTTTGATTTTACAGGTTCATAGGCAGAAGGGACTAGCCTTGTCTCAGATAAGACTTTTGAGTTAATGTTGGAATGAGTGAAGACTGGGGATTGGTGGGAAGGAATGATTTTATTTTGCAATATGAGAAGGACATGAGATTTGGGAGGCGCCAGGGGCAGAATGATATGGTTTGGATCTGTGTCCCTACCCAAATCTCATGTTCAATTGTAATACCCAGTGTTGGAGGTGGGACCTGGTGGGAGGTGATTGAATGATGGGAGCAGTTTCTCATGAATGGGTTAGCACCTTCCCCTTGGTGTTGTTCTCCTGATAGTGAATGAGTTCTCATGAGATCTGGTTGTTTAAAAGTGTGTGGCATCTTCCCCTCACTGCCTCTTGCTCCTGTTCCTAGCATGTATGACACATTGCAGCCACTTTGTTTCCTGCCATGATTGGAAATTTCCTGAGGCCTCCCCAGAAGCAGAAGCCGCTATGTTTCCTGCGCAACCTGCAGAATTAGAAGCCAATTAAACCTCTTTTCTTTGTAAATTACCCAGTCTCAAGCATTTCTTTATAGCAGTGCAGGAATGGACTAATACAGAGATGTGTTGCTTTCCTGCCTTGGGGAGCTAAGAGGTGGGTCTTTCTCAGTTCAGAATTTATGTCCTCTCTTAACTTGTTGCATATAAGAATTTCCTATCTATAATGTCTTTATATAAAAATAGATAAGTAGTCTATTGCTTTCTTGGCTCTTATGGAAGATGCAACTAACAGTAATCTACATGAGTCACACTGAAAAACAGGTACAGTTCATTTGTCAACTCTGGTTGGTTGGTAAAGGCAGCCTGGAGCTCTGTGTTGAGAAGGATTCTGAAGCCTGCCCACACCTTTATAATTAGTTCTGTTGTAAATAAACCCTCCTCAGGTTATCATAATTAGGAGCCATCTGTTTCCTGCTGGAACCTTGACTGATGGGAAGATCATGATAGAGAACGTCTTCCTTTTTGATGAAGGTATTCAGATTTGGGACACTATGGATATCCAAAGAGGAAGGAGACACTTGCTTTGATAGTCATATAACCACATCAATCCTGGTGATCAACAGTGACAGATAATGGCAATCAGATTAGATGACCTTTGCACCATTTCTCTTTAAGGATAGAGAGTTACACTGGGCCCAATACTCCAACTAAGAGGACTAAGCCAAAAAATATTCAGATGACTTATAAATAACAATTTTCCATGTCACAAAAATACATAACCTCTAATGTTTGCAAATTACCTCAATTAATTCTGGGATACCCCAGTTGGTTTTTTTTTAAATTTATTTTATATTTATTTTATTTTTGAAATGGAGTCTTGCTCTGTTGCCCAGGCTGGAGTGCGGTGTTGCAATCTTAGCTCACTGCAACCTCCGCCTCCCGGGTTCAAGTAATTCTCCCACCTCAGCCTCCCGAGTAGCTGGGACTACAGGCATGTGCCACCACGCCTGGCTAATTTTTGTATTTTTAGTAGATATAGGGTTTCACCATGTTAGCCAGGCTGGTCTTGAACTTCTGACCTCAGGCAATCTGCCTGCCTTGGCCTCCCAAAATGCTGGGATTACAGGCATGAGCCACTGCACCCAGCCACCCCAGTTGGTTTCTAATGTGTGCCCCAAATCAAGTCCTGCAATTATCAAATGGCATTGGGCATTTTCCTCCTTTACTGTCTTAGCCCTTCAGTGAGGTCTCCCAGCAATGCCTAATCACTGCCACTGCCCAATGTGGAGGCACAGATGTCCACGTCCATGCAGCTGACCTCCCGCAGGAAAGGAGACTGCTGGTGGACCCAGGATACACCCACCGAACATGCCCACCACTGTGGGCATGCTTAGGCTCTGCTGAGTCTAAAGCAGGTCTTTTGCTGAGATTCAGATGGTGGTGGACATCCAGATTTCCTTTTCTTAACTGAAGGCTTACCCTAGGTATCACTGTACTTATTGTCCTTACTTCTCTAAGCAGTGTTGCTTCTGATGATTACAGAACTGTGGGGCAAGGACAAAGAGTGATCAAATAAAGAGAGGAAGTTCTGGTGTTTGCTATAGAGAGGGACTGTCACAGGCAATATTGTGGTTAGGTTGATATGCACAGCCCAGACAACAGAAAAATGTCATCATTCATTCATTTATTCACAAAGTACCATGGTTCTAGATTTCTCCAATGCCTGTGCTTAGTTGGGCCTCAATAAACAACACATGCACCCACCAATCATTTTTCAAAGGTAAGCAAGGGATGAAACGTTAAAAATAGGCAACAAGGTGCCTCCTTCCATGTCTTTCTCTGACTGCAACACGTGGATTCCTCCTAGGAGCTACAGAACATGTGCAGCTCATGTGTTTTAAATGTCACCCGCAAAGGGCCAATCTCTCATTTTGGGGCGATCATACTTCCCAAGGAGAGGGCTGAGGATAGAGGGTGGGGAAGAAGCCAGGAGACGGGTGGCAGGAATCCCGATCCTTTCCCTCCTCATTCAGTGGGGCCACAGCTATTTTCCTTCCAGCTGTCTCCCAAAGTCTCTTCTGAACTTGTTTCTGGAAACAATAACAACTCAAGTTCAGATGAGATCTCATGCTATTTAGAAACCTGGAAACGAAAACACAAAAACCCCAAGGAATCTCAGATGCTCAAGTGGAGGGGGGTTTTGGCTGCAATATTTTGCTAAGTTTTCTATAATTCTCCTTTAATAAAAGTCTCATTTTCCCTACCTTTCCTGACCCATGGTCCATAAATTTAAACATAAAGCTTCATTTTTAAGCCAATAGCCTTGTAGCCCAAAGGAATGGTATGAATATAGATACTCTCATTAATCTCTAAGTGTTTTCCTGCGGCCGATACTCTTTCACAAAATACATTTTTCTGCAGATGTGACACAACAACAAAGAGACCCCTCTCCTCTCCCCCAAAACTTTTTTTTTTTTTAATAACAGCAGCATGGCAGATTTTAAGAATGTCTAACCAGTGTAGATTTGTATTTTTGCATTCTTTGAAAATTGGTTAATTATAATGAGATCAGGATAGATGGAATTTTAATAATGGAAATAATGGAATGAGTTATTTATCCAGGAAAGGATCTATTTATATGGGAAACGGAAAGAAGGAAAAGAATGGAAAATGGAGAGTCAAATGGAAGTTTCAAATAGACTTTATCCTTTTCTTTTTTAGACTTTTTTCTTTTCTTTCTTTCCTTTTTCTTTTTTTTTTTTTTTTGAGACAGGATCTTGCTCCGTTGCTCAGGCTGGACTGCAGTGGCACGATCTTGATTCACTGCAACCTCTGACTCCCAGGCACCTGGCTAATTTTTTTTTTCTATTTTTTTTTTTTTGTAAAGGCAGGGGTTTGCCATGTTGCTCAGGCTGGTCTAAGCGATCTGCCCTGGGCTCAGGCGATCTGCCCACCTCAGCCTCCCAAAGTGCTGGGATTATGGGCATAAGTCACCGTGCCTCCTGGCCTTTTCTTTCTTTCTTTCTTTTTTTTTTTTTTAAGGCAGGATCTTGTTCTGTTGTTCAGGCTGGAGTACAGTGGTGCAATCACAGCTCACTGTAGCCTCAAACTGCTGAGCTCAAGTGATCCTCCCACTTCAGCCTCCCCAGTAGCTGGGACTATAGGTGTGTGCCACCATGCCCAGCTAATTTTTAAATTTTTGTAGAGATGGGGATCTTGCTATGTTGCTCAGGCTGGTCTTGAACTCCTGGCCTCAAGCAATCCTCCTGCCTCAGCCTCTCAATCCCCTTATTATATATATAAATTTAAATGATTTTTCACTAATTCTTCAGCTAATCTACTCAATGGCTTGAGAGAGAGCCCTTGAGAGCGCAGATAACTGCTTTCAAATAGGAGACTCAAAGAGAGGCTGAATTTAGAGCTGGTATCTGCCATAGGACTGTCAGAGCTCAGCCTGGCACACATTAGTCCGTGTTCTCTTCCCTTCCTTATGGTTTTTTGTTTTATTTTCTCACATTCCGGTCACATCAAATACACTCAACACACACATGCACCATGAATACATCCCCACCCTCCCCTATATGAGGCCAGACAGACATCAGAGACCACAGCGCCCCCAGCACATGGGCAGGCAGTTTCTTGATGCTGAAATGCCCCAGCTGGAGGCCGGTGAGAACCTGGACAGATCCTATTTGCAGCCCTGCACCCGTGACCGTAATGTCCCTCTCAGGGAGCACCAGACAAACCAACTCCTGCAGTGAAGATAAACACCTGCCTCCATCCTGAGGGAACGACTGATTGTGTAACGTTCCCCTCAGTCACAGGAGCCATCTCCCCCTTCTAGGAGAGCGCCCGCCTATGGCCAGCATCCCACCCGATGTGTCTCTAACAAGAGGTCACTGGGAGGCTGAGTGTGCCTGGCAGGCAGAATCCTACCCACAGCAGACAGGGACACACAGCCACTCGGGGCCCTGAAAGCTGCCCTTCTCAGGTGGCTGCCACTCATGGGAGAGGCATGTGGACGATGCACAGGGACCACTGTCAGTAGCTCCTTTCACTGATCAGAAGATTGATTGTGTGTGTGTGTGTGTGTAAAATGGATATGTTTTCTTCATACAATAAGTGTCATGTAGAGGATTTGTCAGCCTCTCTTCACCACAGTGTTACACACATCCCAAGCATATTCCACGGTTTTGCAATTTGCCAGAGCTCTTGCCACATCTCTTCCTATCTGTGTAACACTCCATTTGTGCACCACCTGTCTTGAGGATAGACCTGTCTTGCGCCCAGACCTGTCTTGCGCCCAAGGAGTCATGTTTTAGTATCTGGCTCTTACTCGTTGGCGACCCTCCTTCCAGCCCCCACCTTTTCCTGCAGGACTTGGAATCTAGCTTCAGCTGCAAAAACAGGAACATACTTCTCACACCTGCTGATATTTATTTTCAAGCTAAGCCTGCATGGCATGGCTGTGGCCTTCCTTTCTTAAGGACAACATACATTTTCTGCTTACACAGATTCCTTCTCTCAGTCTGTCTGCACAGCCAGCCCCTTCTTATCTGGCCGGCAGCTGAGCTGAGCTGCTTTCAATGATACCTGGTTGTCCTTGAAGTAGCTTTTCTAACTGCTCAGGTAATAAATCAAGTTTGAAAAACTGGACCGTATTCCCAGCATAATCTGTATGCTATATGATGCTTCACAGGCGGATCTGGACTAAGAAGTAAAGGTAAATGGGATTATTTTGATGATTAGAGTAATGAGCACAAAGGAAATCCCTATGTGTGTGAGGATGAATTTAGTTTCTTTCTCTAATGGAGATATTTCGGGCACATGCACTTTCTAAATAGATCTAGGATCAGCACTGTGAGAGGAAGGCCACATTCTCTAATGTCCTCAGTCTAGGTCCTTAAATGTCTCATTTCTTTTTTCTTCAAAGGGCCAGATAGTAAATACTTTGGGTTTGTGGGCCATACAGTTTCTGTTGCAGCTACTCAACTCTGCCATTATGGTGTGTAAGCAGCCACAGAGAGCAGGTAAATGAATGAGTGTAACTGTGTTCCAATAAAGCTTTATTGACAAAGACAGAGAGTGGGGTGGGTTCAGTCTGTGGGCCACAACTGGTGGGCCCCTACCATGGAGTGTCACCAATGTCTGAAAACTATTTCCTTGAAGCATCAGCCAGTGGAGCAGAACCACATAAATGGTCATAACTTACAAGACGGAAATTATTTTGGTTTCCCAATGAAAAATGAAATAGGTGATTCTTTAGTCACCATACTTTTTTTTTTTTTTTTTTTTTGAGACGGAGTTTTCTCTGTTGCCCAGGCTGGAGTGCAGTGGTGCAATCTTGGCTCACTGCAACCTCCGCCTCCCAGGTTCAAGTGATTCTCCTGCCTCAGCCTCCTGAGTAGCTGGGATTACAGGCGCCTGCCACCACATCCGGCTAATTTTTGTAGTTTTAGTAGACATGAGGTTTCACCATGTTAGCCAGGCTGGTCTTGAACTCCTGACCTTAGGTGATCCACCTGCCTTGGCCTCCCAAAGTGCTGGGATTACAGGCATGAGCCACCACGCCCGGCTTAATCACCACACATTTTAGTGTAGTTCATACCCCTGACCAGAAAAATGTAATCTTCTGGGGCCTTTAACACACTAGACCAGCTGTCCCCAACCTTTTTGGCACCAGGGACTGGTTTCATGGAAGACAATTTTTCTATGGATGGGGGTTTGGGGGCAAGGTGGTTTCAGGGGTTGGGGTGATTCCACCTCAGATCATCAGGCGTAAGTTAGAGTCTCATAAGGAACGTGAAACCGAGATCCCTCACATGCACAGTTCTGAGAATCTAATGCCGCCACTGATCTGGCAGGAGGCAGGGCTCAGGCAGTAATGCTCACTCCCGCCACTCATCTCCTGCTGTGGGGCCTGTTTCCTAACAGGCCACAGACTGATACCAGTCCACAGCCTGGGGGTTTGGGCACCCCTACACGAGCATGGCCAAAAGGCTGCAAAGAATAATGCTGATAAGCCACGAACAGTTAATCAAACCTTTAAAAATGGTACAGTTAGGAACTGTGGCTGGCAAGGGAGGACGGAAGACCTAACTTCTCCTCCTCTCGTTCTTCATCATCCTTATCACTCTCAATAAAATATCTAGAAGACATTATAGCTTATGCATTGGCTTTGCTTAGTTGGCACGCGATTTTGATGTTTGCAGAGTGCTTTTTATGCCAACTTTCTCTCCGCTGTGGCTTCCAGTCTTCTGTCCCTTGCTTGTGCTTTAGCCCACACATGCAGATTAGATTTTTGGTAGCTCTGCAGTCAGATCAGAGCTGCAGGGATGTGGCTGCAGCTGTGAGTTCCTCCACTTACGGCAGCTAAAGGCATGCTTCTCCCAATATGAGTTATTGCCCCGTCTACTAATTGGCCTTACAATGATGATTTATCTCCTCTAACAGGGTCTCTCACTTTGGGGCTTTGCGATCACCTCAACATGAGGATAACCGTGATCACACACAAGAGACCAGAATTTCCCCCTATATCAAGTTTATTTGCCAAACAGGCAGTTTGAAAGATTTTATAGAAATGACGAGTTTTCAAGTTCAAAACATGTTCCATAGAATTTTATAAATACCTCGATGCTATATTATCAACAAATTAATGCATAGAGATCACTTAATATGTGATACACATTTATGATACATTTTAACTAATTAGGTAGCCTGCAGCTGACGTGATACAATGTTTTTCATTGTTTTGTTTTGAATGAATGAGCTCACTTTATTTCTGCCTAGACAAAGCTATATGCATTTACGGTTTCCTCCTGGGAGCTGCCTGAGCATATCCCAGTGGCTCTGTTTGCTGACTGTGGGAAGAGAATCAGATTTCACAGGCTGTGGCCCCAGATGGCTCTGTTCATTAAGAACTGTGAAGAGAGAGGGAAACTTGACAGAGAACCACCACAACGAGGGCCAAGGCTGCTCAGCAGAGATGCTTCAAGGATGTGCTGTACTGATATGGCAGGCTTCAGGGAGAAGCTGCCTGCTCACAGTTCCATGAATATAAAGGCAGTGCCGAGTAATTGAAGGAGGATGTGCTGAGGGCTTCACCTGAAATGCCACATTAACCAGGCTTCTTTGGGTAGAATGGGCAGGTGGTAGATTCATTGGTTGAACCAAATTTGTCGATGGTAGCTCCTTCATAACGTCATTTAAAATTTTTGTTTTTTTTTAAAGAGGCAGGGTCTCACTATGTTGCCCAGGCTGGAGTGCAGTGGCTATTCACAGGTTTGATCATCGCAGACTACAACCTCGAAGTCCTGACCTCAAGTGATTCTCTAGCTTCAGTCTCCCGAGCAGCTGGGGCTATAGGTGCATGCCTAGCTTCCACAATGTCATGTTAGTGTATAGGAAGATGCAATTATCTGTCTTGGCATCTTTTAAGAGGGAACTTGGGCTGGGCACGGTGGCTCACACCTGTAATCCCAGCACTTTGGGAGGCCAAGGCGGGCGGATCACCTGAGGTCAGGAGTTCGAGATCAGCCTGGCCAATGTGGTAAAACCCCGTGTCTACTAAAAATACAAAAATTAGCCAGGCATGGTGGCTGGCGCCTGTAATCTCAGCTACTTGGGAGGCTGAGGTAGGAGAATCGCTTTAACCCAGGAGGCGGAGGTTGCAATGAGCCGAGATGGCACCACTGTACTCCAGCCTGGGGGACAAAAATGAAACTCCGTCACACACACACACACACACACACACACACACACACACACGAGGGAACTTGATAAGTTACAATGTGAAGATTAGCAAAATGAGGAAAATCCTAACAGTCGAAAGGACGGTTGGATTTACAGGAGAGGCAAACCTCTTTTCAATACACTGATGACCTGTCTGCACCCACTGTTTATCTGTCTACCTATTTCTTTTCAAAGACACTAAAGAGGCTGCCCATTTTGAATAACTGTTGTTTTAATGAGTTGAAGGGCACAGAAGATCAAATTTTCATGAACACACTTCCTAAAATAGAAGTGTATTCACTTATATTTCAAAGGAATTGCTTTTAGAATTAGAGGAAAAGTGATTTTCCAGGGTTGTATCTTTGGATGCTTTTCCCTGTTTACATTCTGCCTCAAAATTACTATTTAGTTAGGCATGTATGCAATTTTTGAGGCCATTATAAAAGTCTTGGCATCCCAAGAGGAGTGAAATGATCATAATGAAGATAAATAAAATGAATTATTCCTATTAGCATTTTGCATGAGATTCGAGGTGTTTTGCCAGTAAACAAAGATACATGGGGACACGTGAAGAACAACTGTACTGCAAATTTCTCAGTTGTAATCTCGTTCTGCTCTTTAAATATTCAGGTCCATGTGCAAGCTCTGTATAGGGGCTACAGAAAAATCACATCCCATCAAGCCTGAAGCCAAATTTGGTGGGTGAGGGAGAAAGAGCACTATATGCAATGGAAATTATAGACTGGAAATGCCAACTTCACCACTGAAACAAAGAACAGATAATTCTTAATAAGTATACATGATTAGAGTTTCACTTATCATTTGAAAGAATCACAAGAATAGGCCAACTCTAAATTAAGGTACCAGCAAAAGAATTTTCCAGAGTACCTGCCTAGTTTTCAAAATGATTAATGAGACTTTGCTCAGCTGTAATGAACCATCAGCCATCCAGGTAGGGAAACATCTTTCGCTCGCACATTTAATTTCAGTGTTCTTTTGGCTAAGTGGGATCAAGGAAGATCATGGTGGCCGTGAAAGAATGTATCTGTGGGAGAATTCAAGGATTCCTTTTACATGGGCCTTTTGATAACTGAATATGTTTTTTAAAGATTTCATTCAAAACCTCCACATTATTTATTTTTCTTTTGAGAAAATCAACGAAGATATATGAGTTGTTATGGTTGCTAACTAACAACTGGCCTGTTTATTCCAGTAAAACATGATCTATTTCTCTCTCTTTTTTGAGAGATATTAATTTTAAGCACCGACTGGGTCAGAGGACTTTATTTTAAATCCTAGTTTGTCAGAAATTACTGTGTGAACTTGGCTAGTAGTGTAGCCTCTATCAGCCATTTACCTGTAAAATTAAGGCTAGATGCAGTGATAGTAAATGTCCATTTAAGTTCTAAAATGTTCTATTACACTCTGAGATCCTAATGATACAGTTGTGAAGTGGGTGAAGAAACTCACCAAAGAACTGGGATAACTGGCTAGCTATATGCAGGGGATTGAAACTGGACCTGCTCCTTACACCATATACAAAAATCAACTCGAGATAGATTAAAAGACTTAAAACCTAAAACTATAAAAACCCTGGAAGATAACCTAGGAAATACCATTCTGAACACAAGACCTGGCAAAGATTTCATGAAGATGCCAAAAGCAATTGCAACGAAAAAAAAAATTGACAAATGGCACCTAATTAAACCAAAGAGCTTCTGTACAGCAAAAGAAACTGTCAACAGAGTAAACAGACAAGCTACAGAATGGGAGAAAATATTTGCAAACTATACGTCCAACAAAGGTCTAATATCCAGCATCTATAAGAAACTTAAATTTACAAGCAAAAAACAAACAACCCCATTAAAAAGGACATGAACAGACACTTTACAAAAACAGAAATCCATGTGGCCAACAAACATGAAAAAATGCTCAACATCATTAATTATTAGAGAAATGCAAATCAAAACCACATATCATCTCACACCAGTCAGAATGTCTATTATTAAAAAGTCAAAAAATAATAGATGCTGGCAAGGTTGTGGGGAAAAGAGAATGCTTACATGCTACTGGTGGGATTGTAAACAGCCATTGTGGAAAGCAGTTGCTATTTCTCAAAGAACTTAAAACAGAATTACCCGTCGACCTTGCAATCCCGTTACTGGGTATATACCCAAAGGAACAGAAATCATTCTACCATAAAGACACATGCACATGTGTGTTCATCACAGCACTATTCACTGCCCACAGTGAAGACATGGAATCAACCTAAATACTGTTGCGGGAAGTCAGGGACCCCAAACAGAGGGACCGGCTGAAACCATGGCAGAAGAACATGGATAGTGAAGATTTTACGGACATTTATTAGTTCCCCAAATTAATACTTTTGTAATTTCTTATGCCTGTCTTTACTCAATCTCTAAACATAAATTGTAAAGATTTCATGGACACTTATCACTTCCCCAATCAATACCCTTGTGATTTCCTATGCCTGTCTTTACTTTAATCTCTTAATCCTGTCAGCTGAGGAGGATGTATGTCGCCTCAGGACTATGTGATAATTGCATTAACTGCACAAATTGTACAGCATGTGTGTTTGAGCAATATGAAATGTGGGCACCTTGAAAAAAGAACAGGATAACAGCAATTGTTCAGGGAATAAGAGAGAGAAACTTAAACTCTGACTGCCGGTGAGCCGGGCAGAACAGAGCCATATTTCTCTTCCTTCAAAAGCAAATGGGAGAAATATCGCTGAATTCTTTTTCTCAGCAGGGGATATCCCTGAGAAAGAGAATGTGCAGCTAGGGTTAGGTCTCTGAACTTGAACTGGCCCCCCGGGGCGTACCTGTCTCTTATGGTTGAGACTGCAGGGGTGAAATAAACTTGTCTCCCATAGCGCTCCCAGGCTTATTAGGAAGAGGAAATTCTCACCTAATAAATTTTGGTCACACTGGTTGATCTCAAAACCCTGTCTCCTGATAAGATGTTTTATCAATGACAATGGTGCCCGAAACTTCATTAGCAATTTTAATTTCGCCTGGCAGCTGTGGTCCTGTGATCTCGCCCTGCCTCCACTTGCCTTGTGATATTCTATTACCCTGTTAAGTACTTGATGTCTGTCACCGACACCTATTCGCGCACTCCCTCCCCTTTTGAAAACCCCTAATAAAAACTTGCTGGTTTTTGTGGCTTGTGGGGCATCATGGATCCTACCAACGTGTGATGTCTCCCCCGGACGCCCAGCTTTAAAATTTCTCTCTTTTGTACTCTGTCCCTTTATTTCTCAAGCCAGCCGATGCTTAGGGAAACTAGAAAAGAACCTACGTGATTATCGGGGCAGGTCCCCTGAAAAAATACCCATCAATGGCAGACTGGATAAAGAAAATGTGGTACATATACACCATGGAATACTATGCAGCCATAAAAAAGAATGAGATCATGTTCTTTGCAGTAACACTGATGGAGCTGGAGGCCATCATCCTTAGCAAACTAACACAGGAACAGAAAACCAAATACCACATGTTCTCACTTACAAGTAGGATCTAAACACTGAGTACACAAAGACACAAAAAAGGAAGCAACAGGCACTGGGGCCTGCATGAGGGTGGAGGGTAGGAGCAGGTTGAGGATCAAAAAACTACCAAACTACCTATCAGGTACTATGCTTATTACCTGGGTGACAAAATAATTTGTAAACCAAACCCCCACTATATGGAATTTATCTCTATAATAAACCTGTACGTGTACCCTTGAACCTAAGGTTTTTTTTTTCTTTTAAAAGAAACTCATTAAAGAGTTTCCAACAAGTCATAGGCCCAAGGTCCACACAGTGACAAAAATCTCTGAGCCAGTCTGAAAGGCCTAGATGAGATATTTGAATATTCCCTGCAGTAAAATCACCTTTTAACCAAGGTTTAGGCCATTATTTGGATGCTTCATAAAATGATTTAAATCAGAGTTTATTCATTGCCTCCTGGTAAGTTCACAAGTGACTGAGAAATCCTTTCATGGTAAAATTATGAGAGAAATGACACATCTTTGTGGCTGTTTTAAGCTCATAAGTGGTTATAAGGTTGTAGAAAAGAAAAAAAGAACATCTCGCAAAAAAAAAAAAAAAAGTGGTCTGACAACTCAAGTTGAAGTTGTTCACATTAATGCACAAGTTTAAGAGGAAAAAAACCTCAGAATCAGATGTTCAGATTATTCAGTGTTTACATGATCAGAGCCCTGACTCATTCCCATTCTTTTGGGGGATATTTTAAAGGAAAAAAAAATGGCAAGAGAAATAATCTAAAATACATTCACACCCATAAAAGAATTTGCTACAGAGAGATCTGCGCCTTCTTCATGGAACTTGCTGTGTCTTTTCCAGTTGAAAGCAGAAAACAGTAAGCATACTTTGACTCACTCATCTAAACCTTCTGAGAAGCATAATTATCTAGCTACCTTTTAAATAACACCCATTACAGAGCTGTGCACACAGTTGGTGCTTAATCAATAGTTTCCAACTGAATCAACTGGCTGAAGCTGAGGTTCCCATGTTCTCCCTTAGTAACTTGTTTCCCTGGAAATTTAACCTTAAACTCATATAAAACAAACTCACTCGAGCTCAAAGTCCACTGTTCCTTTTTGTGATTTCTCAGTTGTAGTTAAGCTAGTTTTTCCTTTAAAGCAAAAGCAATGTTGATTTTTTTGAGTCTGTTTTCTCAAATTGAGATCATTTTGATTTCCATAAGTTGCTTTACTAAACTTAGCCTTAGGTGCAAATTCATTGATATAGACCATGGGCATTAGTGACCTCCATGTACTCGCCCCAAGACAGACCCCTCTGGCAATCCAGGTGATATGCTCCATTCAGATGTACCTGGTGCCCCTGAATTCCAACTGCTAATTGTGGAAAGTCTTTTAATCAAGTCTCTTATAGCTGTGACAGTCCCTTTACACAAGTGCAAGAATCATGACCTAAAGACCTGTGTGGCAACTGTAGGCTCAGTGGAATTGTGGAAAAGGTCCTTTACGCTCATCCAACACTGCGTGTGCTTCTCTATGTTTTCCACACTCCCTTGAAGTGAGATTGGGTTCTGATGAATGGACTGTGAGCAGAAGTGATGTGTGTGCCTCCTCTGCCTGCTCTTCCCTTGCTATTGAGATTGGAGTCATGTGTTCTAGAAGCATGTAATGGCTATCTGACGGATCAAGGCTACCAGATCCACATTAGGCTTAACTCCAGTGAGAAATAAACCTTTGCTGCTTTAGGTGACTGGGATTTAGGATTTTCCTGTTAGGGCAACTAGCATTACTTATTCCTTTTTTTTTTTTTTTTTTTTGAGACAGAATCTCACTCTGTTGCCCAGACCGGAGGAGTGCAGTGGTGCAAACTCAGCTCATTGCAACCTCCATCTCCTGGGTTCAAGCGATTCTCCTGCCTCAGCTTCCCAAGTAGCTGGGACTACAGGCCTGTGCCACCACACCTGGCTAGGTTTTTTTTTTTTTGCATTTTTAGTAGAGATGGGGTTTTACCTTGTTGGCCAGGCTGGTCTTGAA